>NC_000002.12:19630967-19782482 GCF_000001405.40 Homo sapiens
GGTGCTCCTTTAAGGCAGCCCCAGGAAACTAACACTAAATGAAGTACAATGAGACAATGGTCATGCACCTGGGGCTTGGAGCCCCAACTTACAAGTTTTCCCTCCCTGCTCTACCAGATGGCTTCTTGGCTATCACCCTCCTCCCCATGTAGAGAAATGGGAAGGCTCAGAGGATGCACACATATCACTTGCTGAGTCACAGTGCCCATGCAGAGGCCTGTGAGGATCTCCACTTGCCCTACAAGAGGCCTAATGCCCCAGGGAGAGGAGAATTAAATAGCAAATTAGAAGCATCATGACAGGTTTAAAGAAAGACGGTGAAAGCAGGATAGAAGCTTTTTTCTGCTTCTCGAACAATGGGCCTGCATTTTCATTTTGCACAGGGCAACACAAATTATGTAGCCCTCTTTGTGGGAGAAAATAATGAAGTTTCAATAAACTTAGAGAAGCAAAAGCAAAAAAAAAAAAAAAAATGGGGAAAAGCAGCACTGACAGCTTCAAAGTCCCTGGTTCCAGCTGTTCCTGAAGCTCAGGTACAGGAGCTGTGGCTTCCCTAAGACATGCCAGTATCCTTATGATACATTCCCTCATGTGTTTAAGAAATTTTGAGTTAGTTGTTCCATAACCTACAGCCATAAAAATTGTAGCTAATAGTAGCATAGCTGCATTTATATAAATTTGAATTCTCCAAATTTGAAAGTCCATCAAATTTTTTAAAGTAATAAAATTTAACTTTCAACACAAATTTTGAAGTAATGGGAATCTTCCAAGCAAATTCCTCTGGGATCACATCATTTCTAAGCTTGAATGAATTATGAACTATGTTTTACATTAATACAACAGATTAAAATCATTTTATCTATTAAGTAGAAAAACCCACCATCTTTTAAAATATCTGGCAAATCATGCTATTGTTTTGGCTCTTAAAACTTGTGTGGGTTATTTAACATTTCCTATTATTATAACTTAAAATCTCTTTAATATCTTATACCAACATTATCCCAGCATTCATTAAGTGATAATAATGCTAGCAGCAATAACATTTTGGAACAGAAACAAGATGCAATAACACCCTGTGAAGAAAACCAGACAACTACCACTGTACACTGAAATTTCAATGTAGCAGCCAGCGCTGTGAGAATGACTAGAGAGAATGCTACAAAAATAAAAGTGGCATTAAAGCAATTGTACCTTTAAATTTGCAAAAAAAAAAAAAAAAGGAGTTGTATCAATCCAAGGATAATGGAAATTCTGCTGCTGACATGGCTGCCCACTAATGGCATGTGATATGCCCTGAGTTCCAAGAGTTGAAATTTACACACTTCAAGAATGCATTCTCTCCGCTTCATACACTTTAATAATTTTGTTTATCAAAGAGTAATTTATAGGAAAATTAGTCTTGAATTATGTAAGATCTGAATTAAGCAAGGCCTTCGGGAATGTGCCCTCACACACAATGTGACCACTTGGAACCGCCTCCTTCTTGGCTTGGGAGCCCAAGCATAAGTCATGCCAGGAGAGTGTGTCTGGGACAGGCTCTCCTAGCTTCTTGGCTTGTCATCAAAGCCTGTTGAAGGGCAGCTCCCCATCACCAGCCTCGCAAAGGCAAAGCTGAGAAAACATCCTCCCAGCAGCTGAGTGGTGGCCAACATGCATATCCCCAGATCACACCAGAACAGTCTCTGAGGAGTGACAGGCTTGTGCTGGACAGCACAACCAGCTCCAGCATCCTCATATCCCACTGAGGATGCCCCAAATCAAAGTCTGAGGCCAGGCCTGCCTGGCAAGATCCTCCTGTTTTCTCCCCTCGTCACTTGAAAGCCACAATCTCATCACATGAAAAGCCTCTTGGGAGAAATACATTTTCCCCGTTCAATGCACAGATGTCACACAGATTTGGTGCATCATTCGTAAATGATTTCCAAGTTTACTTGTCTGCTCCAAGGAGATTACTGGCATCTCCAACTGCATTTTAGTGTAATCATTTCCATGTTGCATAGGACATTTTGGCAGAAACAGCAGTCGCCTCTGCTGTACAATCAGATGGCTGAGAATCTGCATCCCTGTTGAACATAGCCTCAAAATTAGGGCCGCTACCCTTCAAGCCTTTGTACTTTACTATGACTTCATTCAACAAAAGTTTACTGATTCCCCCAGCTGCCAAGAGTGTCTATAGAGGGAACAGAATCTACAGTGAAACAGGGTCCTTGTCCTCAACAAGCTGATGCTCTACCACTGTGGTTTTCATACATCTGTGGCTGTGGAATCTATCTTCAAATGACAGCATAATCATACGCAGAGTGCTATATAAAATAGCAAAATGTACAACTGTACTGTTAAAATTAGGGAGACAGAGTTTCAGTCATCTCTTCCCTGACACCCCCCAAGCTCCCCCCATGGACGCAGGACCTCCAAAAGACCCCTTTATGAAAAAAAAATGTGCAAATCCAGAGCTCATAAATGTTAAATAACTCCTAAAAGATACAAAACCATGATGAGCTTGACAACAATAAAATGCCCCAAAAGAGATGGAGCAAAAACCAATTAACTAATAAAATGAATGCCTGAGAAACTTAAGCAAGATTGTTGAAAGCTGATTTGTTCAGCTTTGGGAACATTCAGGTAGCCTGATAAAGCTCTCCTTCTCCTGGTCCAGCCACCAGAAGGACCAAAGGAATTCTTCCTCTTTTTGGTCAAGGCTCTCAAGAAAAATTTCACAGTAAAGACGTCTCTCCTTTCTCAGAAAAGGGAAAGGGAGTAGGCAGCACTTTTTAATTCTATCCAGCATCCCTTCCCTCCTCCTGAGCTCTTCCTTGTTCTTCTTCTCCACTCCTTAAGTAAGCTCATCCTGCCACATGATTTTAATACCATCTACAGGCTGATGACAGCATTCCCAGCCCTTCTGTCTCTCCAGAATTCCAGTTGCATCTATCTAAGTACCTACTAATCTAACAGAAATCTAGACTCAGCAAATCTAACAAAGAGCTCTGGATTTGCTTTCCCTTTACCCACTTCAATCTTCCCCTTCTTGTTAAAGGACAGCACTATCCACCTAGTTGTTCAAATCATAAGCCCAGTTGTCATCATTGATGTCCTTCCCTATGTCTAATCCATTGGCCAATCCTGCCAGCCTTGCTTCCAGTCAGGTCCTGAACCCATTTCCAGTTGCAACTTGCCTGCTAGCCCAGCTGCCATCATCTTTCACTGGGACACTCACTCCTCTCCTGCATCCACTCTTGCCTCTCTACCATCTATTCCCCTCATGGCGGCCAGAATGACTTTGGAAAAACATCAGCATCCTAAAAGTACCAGCGAGTTCTCCCTGGTCATGCTCCCCCTCCAGCCTCGCTCCATCCCCCTCTCCATTACACCAAGTGGACTGCAGTCACACAGTCTTCCTCTCTCTTTCTCAAACACACAGAGCTCATTCCTGCTCCAGGGCCACTATACTAATTGCTCCCTCTGCTTGGCACACTCTTACCACAAATCTATGCATGGCTGACTCCTTCTTGGCATTTAGGTCTCCGTTTCAAGGTGGCCTACTGAGAGATGCTATCTCTGGCCACTCTGCACTCTCCCGACATCATCTTATTTTATGTTAAACATAGCACTTAACTACATTCAAAATTTTCTGTCTTTTGTTTACGCACTATGTGTCTCCTCTTGTTATCAGTGAGACATAAGTTCTATGAGGGCAGAGAGTTCTTCATGTTCTTTGGCACTGATATTAGCCCAATGCTCAGAACAGTGCCTGGTCCATAAGAGACAATTAATAAACATTCATTGAGTAAATGGATGAGCGAATAGTAAAATGTCTGCTGCTCCTTTGGGGAACTGTTGGTCCCCAAGTCCTTGTAATTATGGTGGAACTGTCAATCACAGTAACTATCAACCCTGTCCATGGCAATGGGGTCAAGATCTTAGCATGTGAATCAAGCAGGGTAGTGACAGTCCCCCTGGAGAGCTATGTACATGGACAGGGACGAAAAGAAATTTCTTTCCTCTGGGCTGAGATATTAGTTTTAATCTAAGGCCATGTCCTTCTCCCCAGTCTGCACAGACAACAATAACACCAACAATGGCAAACCTCTCATGGTGTTTACTATGGTCCAGGGACTACTCTAAAGGCTTACGCATATTCACTAATGTAAGCCTCACAACAACCCATGGGAGGATTCCCACTATTATGGTGGTTTTTTAGATGATAAGACTAAGGCCCAGGGAGGCTAGTTAACTTGTTCATGGTCACTCAGCAGTCTGGCTGCAGAGCTATGCACTGTGTTCTACCACCTCCCATCAGCAGAGAAGAAAGACCAACGCAGGAGGAGAGCAGAGCCATGAAACACAAGACAGGGCCCTGGAGCCTGACTTGATACCCAGATCCAGTTGTCTGTGGCTTATTTCACCTCTGGATTTCCTAGTCACAGGAGTGGTCCTGTGGTCCAGGAACTACTCTAAAATGAAGCACCAGAGAACTGGCCGTACATCGTGTGTTTGCATTTACATGTTGCAAAGAGAAATTAAGCCTTTTGCTTTCAAATTGAAAAATCACTTGGATTGTCAATCAATCAAATGAGAATTAAATATCTGTTGTATATCTTGCGTGTTCTAAGTTCTGTAAGTTCTAAGTTCTGTAAAGCACGCAGAGATACTTAAGACATAATGTCAAGCACACTTCCATGATACAACGTTGCTTGAATCTCCTCCTCAGCCAATCTCCTTCTGAAAGGACAAAACCAGTGTGAAGAGATTGAGTCTATGCTAGAGATGGGAGCCACCACCTACCTGAAGCTTGAGGCATTTACACAGGGAGCTGTGCAGGCGAGAGGAGAGCAAGGGCACTGGGGAAGTGCCTGCTGTTGACGCCCACCCATCCCCCAGGTGCAGAGATCTATGATGGAGCAGGTAGGATGCCACACTGCCTCTGCTCCCTCCCAGCCCCTTGGCTCCCTAATGTCCCTTGGATCAGAACAAGGACTAGAGATGCAAAGAGGCCTCTGAGCAGCTGGTGGGGAGGTGGACACTCCTCCAGCTATGGCCACTCAGGCTCCCTGCACAGCGTGCTATATGTAGAGCGGGGGCTGGACATAGGACACACTAACCAGCTGGAAAGGGATTTGCTAAGGCAACCTCTGATTCAAAATGCCCTCTGATTCTCAGCAGACATCCAGGCAGTAGACTGCTAAGGCTGCTCCTAAGCAGAAGTGAAATTCCCACACTCGCAGCCACTTCCCTGTACCTTCCGTTCAGTCCTCTCTCACACTAACTATTGGGACTCTTAAGCAGACAAGGAAAAACTTCACTAAAGTCTTTCTGTCTGGGACTGAATGGGACATGGCTTCTATCAGAGAACCATTTCCAGACATATGAAAACATTCAGCATTTCAAAAGGGAAGAGCCTCCGGTCCAGGTGGCAGTCACTCCAAAATCCACGTGTTTCCTCCGCTCAAAGTACAGAGCAGTGGCAGAGGAAATGCAAAAAGGAGAACGAAAAGGCAGAGTCCCTGTGAAAACCAAGATCCATTTTTGGTAGACTAAAAGTGGGACAAAAACACTCAGTAACAAGCTGATAGAGCTATGTGCCTGTGGCTATGGGTGGGTGTGGAAGCAAACAGAGGTCTCGGGGCAGGGGAGTGTAGGCAGGGTCTCTGCTTAGAGTCAGGCAGGGGCAAGATTCCACACCACCCTCTCACCAAAAAAAAACAAAACAAAACAAAACAAAAACCTGTTGCTCTCAGTTACCTGAGTCTACCATTTCACAGGAGCCATGAGCTAGGAACACCACAGAAGAAAGGCAGAAACTCATGATGAGGAACAGAACCAAGGTGCCCACTGGCCTGGTGACTGGGTCTGGAATGTTCCTGAGGCCACTGTGGAGCATAAACCCTGAACTTCCATTAAACCTGGCTCTAGGCTGGGGGAAACTGCTGGATACAAATGGGTGAGCACAGAAGAAGAGAGAAAATAATACACAAAAAAATTGAACATAACATAAAGTGAGACTGCAAAGCCCAATTCTAAAACATAGGAAGAAATCTGAAGCTCAGAAGATAGCCAATTCAGAGCATGAATTCACACACCAGATGAAATTAATGTTATAGAACACTCTTTTAGGAGACTTTAATTGGGTTTACGGGAGGCAGAGGCTGCAGTGAGCCGAGATCATCCCATTGCACTCCAGCCTGGGCAACAAGAGCGAAACTCTGTACCAAAAAAAAAAAAAAAAAAAAAAAAAAAAGTAATAATAATAATAATAATTGGGTTTAGAATATTCAAAGACTTAAGTGAATAAATATCATTTTTAAACATGCAAGAAATTATGAAAAAAAAAGCCAAATTAAAACAAGAATAAGGAAAAGGAGCTTGAACTGAGCTGTCAATGATTAAGGTGAGTTTGCCAGAAGAAGGCAAAGCAGCACATTGTATGGAAAAGTTGTAACATGTGCAAAGGCACGATGACTTCAGAAAGCACATGCATATTCAGTAGCTCAGTCTGCCTGAGTGTTGAGTGCAGGGAGAAGGGACCAGAGATAAACCTGAATGGGTAGATGGCAACACTTCATTAGAGACCCTAGATCTGCTCAGTGACTTCCCACCATGCCATGCTTTCCTCAAATGGAGTCTACTTTGATCTTCTGTGAGCTCCCTGGATGTCCCATCCTCCAGAACATTTTGTAACTATCTATACCTAAACATAATGAGACAAACAGAAGCCAACACCTTGGTCGCCAGCATTCCTGGGGTGGGTTGGCACCATCACCTTCTGGCCAAACCAAGCTGTCCAGTCGTGACCCCTCTAGCCAGCCCCTCCCTTCACACTGGGAAACTCCCTATGTCAGATATCAAGGGGGTCATCTGCAGTTGTTCCCAAGCCGCAGAGGAAATTGCTTTCTGGAGGCCACGTTCTTGTCTTCTTGAGCTAAGTCCAATTTCACAACTGCTGATTCAAATGAATCTAGATTTTTCCCCCTTAGCCTGCACTTTTAGTATCTGTAGCAACAGACAAGGAATAAAATTAACTATATGAATGTCTATGAATATATAAATATATGTGTGAGTCTGTGTATCTGGACAGCATGTATATAAATCCTGCTCCTTTTTGGATGCATTTAACATTTGTGAAATTCCTAATTCTAATGTTAAAAAGATTTCTATCATTTATTTTGAAAACATAAAATAATAGGCAATAGAACAAAATTTTCATAGTGCTGGTTACAAGACCCGGCACATTAAAGATGCTTAAAGTTAATTTACTGATTTGGGCCACCACCATTTTGGAATACCAAAGTAATTGATGCTAGTGGGTTACCTCAACACCCGCCTGAAACAAAAGACTGTAACTGGGTTGTTACTGTCATCTTTAGACCCAGTTAAAGTTCCACAGCCTTGCTGAAGGCTTCCTCATCACTCAGCCTGCAGGGATTTTGTGAATCTGACTAAGTAGCCAGCTTGGGCGGCCCAGCTGGTCCTTCCCAGAGTGCCTGGCAGAGTCAGCCCTCAGAGAGAATAAGCATCTCTTCCTATTAGGCTGTAGAAACCTTGAGGAAGCTGTTATCTTTTTTTTTTTTTTTTAATAAATGCCTCATATGGTATCATATGAGGCAAATTCATCAGTCTAAAGTGTGGCTTTTTGGAGGTTTCTGGAGATAAGGGAAGATAAGAAATTTGAGATTTGTGGTCATTAGTTTAAAGAGAGTTCAATCAGCCCAGTTATGACATGATGTTTTTTTTTTTTCCTCTGGTAGTATAGAGATGCTCAGGTACAACTCAGTGCAAGGGAATGGCTGAGTTTAACCAGGTTGGGAGTTTAGGGACAAGGGTAATATGAGGGAAAGGAAATAAGGGAGTAGTAACTTTTCAAAGTAGTGAATATGGCACTGATGAAGGAGCCACAGCTTGATCAGGAAAAGATTGAAGCCACAAGAAAGGTGAGAGAGAAAGTGTGAGGAAGACACTTTAAAAAAAAAAAAAAAGGAAATACCTTTCATTTGGCTCTTGTGTGTTTTTTTTCTAATTACAGAAACAATAATCTTCACAGAAAATCATTACAAATCACTTGCCACTCTCATGCCCAGAGATAATACCATAAACATTTTGGTGAATATCTTTTTCAGTCTTTTTTGTGTGCAGGTATAATTGGCCTTTTCAAAAAATGTGATCATCCCATCTATAACACTGTATAATTTCCTTTTTATTTAAAGTTGTGTCATAAGTATTTTTTTACCAACAAATGGAGTTCAAGATCACCCTTGATACTGTTATTATCCTTATCTCACTCATCAGAAACCGAGGCTCAGGAAAGCACATCTCTCTACCCAAATCACACGGTTACTGATGGCAGAGTAGGATTTGAATCCAGCTCTCCCAGTGTCAAGCCCAACACTCTCTGCTTCTACAAAGTCAATAGGTTAATTATCAGTCAAAAGGCCAAGAATGCCATAGGCAAGGGGATCTGTGGCTTGGGGTCTTCAGGATTTACATGATCCTGTCAGAACACAAAAGTTTAAAAGAAAGTGTGATTGTTTGACAGGTTTCTAGAATACTGGGTAAGTTCTTCAATTATTCAAGCTGCCAAGAGACAAGAGGAATCAGGATCTGGGCAGAGGAAGTGGAGACCTTTCCAAGCCAAGCTTGCATTTACATTTATAAGTG
The DNA here is from genome assembly GCF_000001405.40 of Homo sapiens. Classification (NCBI taxonomy): domain Eukaryota; kingdom Metazoa; phylum Chordata; class Mammalia; order Primates; family Hominidae; genus Homo; species Homo sapiens. Next base: position 19,639,620 of record NC_000002.12, read on the forward strand.
AAGCCCCTTCTATCATCTTCAGGGGAGGAGAGAAGCTCAGTGGCTGTGGTGTGAGGGGAAGCATTCGTTCTTCACTCCATCTCCCAGGAAGCCTACACCAACATCTCTCATATCCCCTTGACCCAGCACCAGAAGTGGAGATGAGGTCTTCCATGATTTTGAGTCACAGACAAGAAATCTCCTTGAGGGTTGAGCAGAGGTGGGATGTGAGGTTAATAACTACAGCTAACGGTGAGCAGGGAAGTAACTATATACCCTGACATCAGGGGTACCAGAAAAGACTTTGTACCACCAAATCTATCTTCACCTTTAAAAAACCTCCTTTAAACTCTCATTTCAATATTCAGAAGTAATAATTATAATAAATAATATAATCAAAATTGTTGACAGCATTTGTTAAGTACTTGTGCTAAGAACTTTAAATATTCAATCCTCATTCAATCCTCAAAACAATTAAAGACATACGAATTATGTTTATGCCTATCTTATAAAGGAATAAACCAATGCTCAGAGAGATATGCCCAAGGTCCTATACTTGGTGTCTGCAATTAATATCAGTATTTTGCTTGCTTTTTAAATCATTCTTTGAAGGAGGTATAATACCTACCCCCACCACCCCAGCCGTGAATTGTTCGGTTTTCCCCTATTAGACAAGACATACAAAATTATCGCCTACTGACTCAGTTGTGACTTAAACAGCTGTGATGCATCACAGCCTAGATGTATGGTTGTTCTATTGACTGGCTTTCTTACCAGGAAATTGATGGGACCTCTGGTCTACTTCCTTAGGACTTTCTATTCAGGAAGCCTAAAACCTTGTTAAAAGGTTGCCATTTGCAGTATCATTCAAGATGTTGATTAGAATTAAAGCTCCTGGGCTAAAAGTACCCTTAAAAGTCATCTAATCAAACCCTTTCATTTAACAAATGAAAAGCCAAGCCCCAGTGCTCTCACTGGGAGTGTCAGTGGCTTTACTTCTACCGCATGATACCCTTTAAAGATGAGACTCAGAGAAACAAGCTGATTTTTACCCGGCTCCACCAGGCTTTTATCATCCATCACTGGGGGAGTAGACATTATATCTGGCAAAATGCCCTCTGATTCTCTGTTTGCGCAAAATAGTACCAAAAAAACTAATTAATCCCTGCCAGGCACAGTGGCTCAAACCCATAATCCCAGCACTTTGGGAGACCAAGGAGGGTGGATCACCTGAGGTCAGAAGTTCAAGATCAGCCTGGCCAACATGGCGAGACTCTGTCTCTACTAAAAATACAACAATTAGCCAGGTGTGGTGGTGCATGCCCGTAATCTCAGTTACTCGGGAGGCTGAGGCAGGAGAATCACTTGAACCCAGGAGGCAGAGGTTGCAGTGAGCCAAGATCTCGCCACTGCGCTCCAGCCTGGGTGACAGAGCAAGACTCTGTCTCAAAACAAAACAAAAACAAACAAGCAAACAAACAAACTAATCTCATACTCAATCTCTTTTCTAGAAGGAAAAATAACAGCTCTGAAAACTTTAGGTAGGAGAGTAACCGTGAGTATTTAGTAACTAGGAATGACCTAGGAGTAGACGAAATGGAAACAATTTATACCATCATGCTGCAGAGACACAGAGGTCGTCTTTCCCTCCTGAACTCTTGCAGAGAATCGGAGTGTTTTAACCTCCAGAGATTAATGAGTTTAAGAGACTGTGGCAAGATCATCCCTGGAATAGACATTGATGTCCTCACAATGGTCACTATTAGTGCTGAGCTACCATCAGGTGGTTCTGAAGACATCAGACAAGGGATGAAAGAAAATAATTTCACAGATGTCAGTCGAAGATTGTTGCTGAGAAAAGTCAATATGATCTGAGGAAGACTTCATCCCTGATTGACAAAGCTTAGTGGTGGACGTTAGAGCTATTTCAGTTTGGGCTTAAATGTAGAATGGAACTCTATTTTAATTTATACATTAGTAAAGATAACATGCCATTTATACAGATAGACTGTTTCTCCAGGGCACACTGAAGGGTTTTGTTTACATGGGAGCTGTAACACACCTATTTCTTGGTATCATGTGAGGCAAATTCATCAGTCTGAAGTGAGGCTTTTTGGAGGTTTCTGGAGATAAGAGAAGATATGAAATTTGAGATTTGTGGTCATTAGTTTAAAGAGAGTTCAATCATTCAATCAGCCCAGTTATGACAAGATGTTTTTTTTCCCTCTGGTAGTATAGAGATGCTCAGGTACAACTCAGTGTAAGGAAATGGCTGAGTTTAACCAGGTTGGGAGTTTAGGGACAAGGGTAATATGAGGGAAAGGAAACAAGGGAGGTAGTAACTTTTTAAAGTAGTGAATATGGCACTGATGAAGGAGCCACAGCTTGATCAGGAGAAGATTGAAGCCACAAGGAAGGCGAGAGAGTAAGAAAGCGTCAGGATCAACGGATCGGGCATCCCAATGAGGCCAGAGAGTTGTGAGGTCAGTAGAGCGTAGGGGTAAATGAAGTGAAAGTCTGATAATTGAGCCCCTTATTGGGAGCCAGACTTATGAGTAAGTAGTGTGGTCTTTGAACTGTGGTCCATAGAAGGCAGAAACCCCTCTCATGCATTTAGAGGTAAAGGTGAAGTGCTGAAAGAATCTATAAAGGTGAATTATTTTTAGTGGATCTAAAGTACTGTTCTCCCTGCAGTCTGCCTTGCAGGTCTGTGCTAAAAGCCTGGAGTATCCTCAGACCATCCCTAAAACCTCAGTGACCATAAGAAGCCCATCCAGTGGCTCCCCTTCTCTGCCAATGGAGGCATTTCCATAACCAAGCTCTGACTATTCTTCCATCCTCTGGTCAGTCCTTCTCCAAATCCATTCCCAGCTCTCTCCTCTTCTTCTACAAGTGAATATCAAACTCATTCCATGTGTTAGGCCCTGACAATGACACTAAATTGCAGACTCGTGCTTTGCTGCAGCTGACTCGGCATGAACAAGCAAAACATATATGTGGGACATACATGTTCACATGGAGCAGAATGGTGGGGGAAAGAGTGCTCAAATGTCCTTACAGTGAGAAAAGGGGGTGGTGGGGTAGCTTTCTCCTACCCTCAAGTCCCCTGCCTCCTCTATGCAGCAGTTTTCACCTCCCCATGTTCTGACTGGCAGGACCAAAAGAAGCACGGACCCTATTGCCATGTGACATCTCAGTACCCATCCTACATAGTCAGTGGAGTAGGCCAGTGGAGTAAGCCAGTGGAATGGACAAGGGCTTATTTCCATGATAAGCTCTAGGAGACTTTTCTCTTTCTTTATAGACCAACTACATAAATAATAATAATAAAAATCTATAGTGCAGAGAAGTCAAAGGATGCTTCCTTAACACCTTTCATATCCTAGCAGCTATACTAGAGGCTTTCCCAATGGTAACTACTGTTAATGTTCATAATGACTTTGAAATGCTTGGGAATAACTAGCCTGGCCCTATTTACACCAGATGAAATTGAGACTCTGAAACCAAATAGCTTGTTCAGGATACCATAGTTAGCAACAAAGTTGCTGAGACTTGAACCTCAGCCAGTGACCCCCTAAAACCCATACTTCTTCTATCGTCATACCATGCTGCCTTTGGTGAAACTGGAGTTAGGGGAAGGGGAAGAGAAACCGTGGTTTCTGTGAAACACAGAAAACATAGTTTGGGGATGTTCTCCAGAAGGCTCAGCCTGAATCCACATCAAGTGTCTTTGAATGCCTGTAATTTGCGTATTGTTCTTGAGCACTTTCTGATTTGTCCTGCTATAGCAAAGGCAGAACAGCAGCAATATTTGGTTTCAGTGAATGCCAGACCAGGCTGCAGCTCAAAGAAATGCATGAAGAATATCAGTTTCACTTTCTGTCTTATGTTTTAAACAAGGCTTTTCCCCCAACAAGCATGTGCCACTGAAGACGTCCTTCATAAGCCCCCAGTTGTGATTTCGCTTGAAGAAACCATGTGCTCTGATGAATTTTAACCTTCACAAACCTATAGATTGCAGAGCATTTCAGCCTAAATCATGTGAAAATTAAATATTCAGTTTGAAATTTGCCAGTCATCTTTCTGGGTTTTTCCCCCTTCTTGAACCCATCTTCAAAATTAAGAAATATGATTTCAGAATGTTAATTACCATTAGCTAAAGTATTTTTATTTAGAATTTTAAAGATGAAGCTTAAATTATTTCAATAATATTGTCTTCCCCCAAAAGCATTTAGTTTTAAGGTGAAATTACTTATCAGTTCCTATATAACACACTCAAGGATCACCTATTTCAAAGGTTTCTCCTTACCAGCTAGGAAACACTGCCTGGGTGGGTCAGACAGCCTGCGGCTGGGGATTCAGGACAGTTCAGCTAGAGCCTCCCACCTGTCTAGCAATGTGTGGTAACCTGGGTCATGAGAACTGCTGGAACCTATGGCCTGGAGATAGAAATGAATTATGGGGGCTTCCACCCAGAGGCCAAACCACTAGCCCAGGTACTGAGCCCTGTTTCAGAATCCCTCACAACTTGTGCTTTCCTTTGTAGCTGTGTATCTATCCTGACTCCCACCTTGGACTCCAGCCTAGCTGTGGAGGGACAGCAGTGGCATGTGACCTGGGCTGTAAAGAAAGGACACAATATGAGCGTGCAGAGATGGAGACATGGGCATGCTGAGGAGAGAAGCAGAAGACCCCCAGGGCATGTGGCTGAAATGTTAGCACCTGCAACTTGAAATGAACATAGAACTGAAGGAACCCTCAATTTCATGTCATGTGTCAATATAGAGCCAGCAAATGTGAGAGCTGGGAGAAATAAGCAAGGTTAAATCCCTGTGGTGGTCTTTGGCATGTCAAGTATAACGGAGGTTGGCACAAGCAAAATGCTTTCTTCAGTTCCAAATTCTAATTTCCCTCCAGAGAACAATCATATTTCCCTTCAGCTTACTTAGAGTGTGAGTCCACTTGCGAGAGAAAAATCAGAAAAGAGAGAAAGAGAAAATGAAGAGAAGAAAAGGCAGCAAAGACATAGAGATTTCTCACTCAAGTGGGGCTCAGCACTTTATCTGTAGGGTGTCCTTCCCAAAGCCCACAGTGCCAGTCTAATCATGACAAAAAAAATATGACAAGCCCAAATTGAGGAACAGTCTACAAAATACTCACCCTGTACTCCTCAAAGCGATCAAGGTCATGTAAACAAAAGAAGATGGAGAAACTGTCACAGTCCAAGGAGGGAGGGCTACTGAGGGCAACATGGCTGGGATCCTGGAAAAGAAAAGGATGCTCGTAGGAAACTGGTAGAATCCAAATAACACCTTTAGCTTGGTTTACAGTGATGTATAATGTTGAATTCTTAGTCCTGACAAATGTAACATGGTTATATAAGATGTTAACATTAGGGGAAACTGGATGAAGGGTATACAAGGATTCTGTGCTATACTGGCAACTTTTCTGTAAATCTAAAACTATTCAAAAATTTAAAAGTTATTTACAAAACTTAGGAGAATCAAAGGAAAAGCAACGTGAGCCTTAAAATATATTATTTGACTTCACTGGAGAGAAAGAGAGCTGTATAAGACTTACATAAAAGGGACCAGCAGTATATGCTTTGGAGTTCATGGACAAAGTTACATAAACCTATGTGCTGGCAAAGAGAATAAAAGTTTCCCAAAGTATCTTGCACATGAGTATTATTCTCTACCTATGGGTGAATGGAGGCTTTTAGGAGGAAGGATAACAGCAGCTGATATTTATTGAAAGACTCTGTTTAAAGAACTTTAAAGTTCCAGAACTTTAAAGGCAGGATCTCTTTTAAACCTCACAACCATCTTACAAGGTAAATGCTATTATTGTCTCTCCAGAAAAAAAAGGACATTGGTTACATAGAGTGAGTTTAAGTAACTTACTCTAGGTCTACACAGCTAGGAAAAATGAGTTGGGACTTGAACAAAGATGGCTGGTGCCTGAGTCACATACACCATGATACTCTTCTGTTTCTCAAAAAGCCATCCACTTCCCCAGGATCTGAGCCACCTCTATGTTCTGGCTCCCAGCTAGGCCCTAAGGATACAGTGAGAAGCCAAACAAATATGGTATACTAGATACATGTTTTCAGTCTTTATTTCATTTGCTCCTCATAATAATTTAGAGATGCAAGTGGAAATACTATTCTTATTCCCATGTTATAGTGAAGAAAAGTGAGACCCAGGATGCCAAGCAACTTGGCAGAAGCTAATGATGGGGAAATAGGGTGGGGGGTTGGGCCGAAAGTCTACCACTGAATTCCCTGAGCTCCTAGCTTTCTGTTTGTGATAATCCTCCAATCTGGTTGATTACTAGTGTGCTCCATCCCTGCCTTTAAGCTTCATTGATATTTCACAGTGAAGAGAATTTTGAGCAGGACTTGGATCTGCAGAAGGAGCCACCCTGAATGAGTGAAAATTTGGTTTGCAGAGGAAACCTAGAGACCAAGGAGGCTGAGCCATTGAGATATGCAATGTGAGCCCTCCTGGGAGAAGACTGGGGTCCTGATGAGGTGAGTTCCTGGTGGGACTCTTACATCTGTCCTGTCCACACAGATGTACACAAGCCTGCTTCCTGAATCATGTTCAACAAAGAAATGCAAAGAAATGCAACAAAGAAACCCAAAGAAATGCAGCACTTTACCTCCCAAATGCTGCGGGTGCTTCCCCTGAGTATTTTTAAGGTCTTGTTTGGCAAAGAGACTGTGCTGGTTTCTAGAGATCAATGAGCTGATGGTCATGCAGGAGGCACTCAGCATTTCTGACTGGCATCCTAGCCAATGTCAGAAAGTCAAGGTAAGGGAGGTCATGGAGTCCTGGTGTAAGGGAGTCTTTATTATTCCACTTGGTTATTAAGCATACAATTGTAAACTTTCTCTACACTTTTATTAGGTTGGTGCAAAAGTAATTGAGATTTTTGCCATAATGGCAAAAATCTCAATTACTTTTGCACCAACCTCATATAATACAAAGATTAATTGATAATATGAAAAAATATTTTGAATAGTTGTGTTACTTCAATTATATTTGCTTATTTGTGAGTGGAGTGCATTTATTCTTCATCCTTACGACTAATTAGGACTTAGATGAGTGACTGCCATTCATTTATTTATTCATTCATTCAGAAACATTTACTAAGCACCTATTGAGTGCTGGATATGGAAATGTAGGAAAAGGCAGAGTAACTAAGATGCAATTTCTGTCTTCAAGAAGTTTACAAGTAGAGGCGCTCCCAGACATGTAGAGAAAAAAGTGCAATACAGAGAAAACAGGGCAAGAATCATCATGTGCCCCCAGGTACAAGGGGCCTTAAAAGAGAGAGGGAACAGCTTGGCTTGGGGAAATCACACAGAGTTTCATAGAGAATAAGATGCTTCTGTTGAATTTGAAAGAAGAGTGAGTTTTCCAAAAGGACTAGGGGAGAAAGGTCATTCCAAGATAACTTTGCTGAGGATCAAATGTAGCATATGAGTTGCAGAAATACGGGCAAGAATGGCCTGTGGATTAAGATACTTGTTCACTAATCATAAACTCAAGGACAGAGAAAATGTGGGGCATCTGGCTGTGTACACAGAGCAAGGCCACAGCCCAGACAAGACAAACAGCAGGTACAAAGGAGGCAAGGGAATGATGTGGTCCTGGGTGTTTTGGGAAACATTAGAGGCTTGGCCTGGAGGGAAATTGAGACAGGGGAGGAGAGACCTTAGGCTGGACAGGTCAGCCATATATCAGATGTAGTCTTAAATGCCTGATTTGGGTTCCATATCATACTGAAAAGTAAGCTCACTTACCCATCAAAAGAGACCTGCAGACCACAGAAACTATCAGCAAATATCACTGGAGAAACAAAATCACAGGCTCCTATTGTCTGGAGCCATTGCACTGGACAGTCCCTGGGTTTGAATCAGAAAGAGAAGGAGCAGCAGATTTGAAGGGCATTGAAAATCCTGCAACAATCACCTTAACAATCGCCATGAAACTCTAGTCTCCAGAACTCAGATCTTCAGGGCTGGGCCTCGAGTTACAAGCGTCAGGTAGAAGGGACCTGTTTTTACCAACCCCACATCCTGGCTAGGGAAGTGAGAGTAGCACATGAAGGAAAAGAGATAGAAGACTTCAGGTCCCGGTGCCACCAACTCTGCAGTGGGGGATGAGAGAAAGACAGAATGGGAAAAGCAGGCACAGTTGGAGGAACATCTCCAGCCCTGGCTTCTGAGAAAAACAAGATTCTAACTAATAGTAATCACTACTCCATTTTCACCAAAAGTAGAGAATTCCCCATTTTAGAGATTTTTAGCCTTTTTTTTTTTTTGGAGTCAAAAATGTGTATGGCATTTTATGAAAGTTCTGTATCTCCGGAATACACAGATCTGTGTATAATATTCCACAAATAGAGTTTATGAACCCACTAAAATCAATGGGATCCAAAAACTCTAGTTGAGCCCTTTGCTCTGAATCCAATGCTTTTAGGGCTCTCGTGGGCTACTCCTGGAACAAGGAATAAGCAAAATTGTGAGCCAGCTCAGTCCTCCGAGTTACATCCCCAACAACAGGTGAGGCCTATGAAGCCACTTCTTTTTTTTTTTTTTGAGACCTGGTCTCGCTCTGTCACCCAGGCTGGAGTGCAGTGGTGCAATCTCAGCTCACTGCAACCTCCACCTCCTGAGTTCAAGCGATTGTCCTGCCTCAGCCTCCCAAGTAGCTGGGATTACAGGTGCCTGCCACCATGCCCGGCTAATTTTTTATATTTTTAGTAGAGACGGGGTTTCACCACATTAGCCAGGACAGTGTCGATCTCCTGACCTTGTGATCCGCCTGCTTCGGCCTCCCAAAGTGCTGGGATTACAGGCGTGAGCCACCGCGCCCGACCGAAGCCACTTCTTTACAGGTGTTCGACCACCATGCTTGTTGTATAGAGGCCTTAAAGTTTGCCCAGCTCTGAGTCTAAGTCCAGTCACCTCTACAGATGGTACATTCTGTTCTGGAGGCAGACAAAACTCAAACTGATAGCATTAGAATCATATCTTTTATCTCTCTGGGTACACCTAGGGTCTGAAATGTAGCACCATGTCAGTTTGCTCCCACCCTACACTGGGATCCCTATGACATTGCACTGAATCATCACTTCCCAGTAAAAGGATTTAAAACATTGCAAAATGAGGCTGGCTGAGTGAGGATCCCTGAAGCACTGTGTAACCTGCTGACATAACAGCTGGACTACAGCCCAGTGCATGGGCAAGGCCAACACGAACCCTTGACATCCTACCCCTGGGGGATGCTGAGCCTCCATCTGCCCTTTCTCTTCTTCTCCACATACCTTCTCACCTTCCCTTCCCTTAATATCTGACTGTTCTCAAAATTTGTTCTCTAATAATTACTTTTTCAGGCAAGAACGTAAAGCACTCAATCTTTTTATTGACTTATCCTGATCTCTGTGAGCCTAAAATTCCTGAGATTGAAACCCCCATGATACATCTCCTACTCTGCCAAATGCCCCCTCCTCCTGCAGACAAAGGAATGCCAGAAGTCCATCTACTTTTAGCCCAGTCCTCCAGACAACAAGTGCCCCATCTCAAGAAGCACTGGAGAATCCAGTCCTCTCATTCTCCTCACATACTACAAACCTGGAGTCATTGAATAAGCATCCCCTAATAGGCAAGAAAAAATTTCATTCCTAGTGGCAGTCAGCAGGAGGCAGAGGCTCTTCCAGTCTAATGACTTGCAAATCAAAAGCATGAAAACCAGAATGCACCTTTGAACCTCTTTCCCATCCAGCCTAGATGTCCTCATAATTTTCTCCCATAGCGTTCCTGGTATTTTTGCTACCAGAGCAATAACCTTCCCCATGCATTTTTTTACATGTTGGAGGAGGAGCTATCCAGTGATCTCAAAGCATATGTTTTTGATTCTCATAAGATTATGGATACCAAAGGAATAAAAATGGAAATCACTACTGCCAAGATATGAAAGAAACTTTGCATAGTAAAATAATTTAAACCTAACATTTGGACCCAATAAGGCAAACGCAATGTTTTTTCCATATTTTTGGAAAATGTGCATTTTCTTTACATTAAGTGGTACCAATAAAAAATAATGATTCTCACTCCGTTTATTTCTATAAGTTAGATTGGCTTATAGTTTTCCAGGACATGGTTTTCTATCAAGCTATATGGCAAACACCTGGGCATAAAATACACTCAGCTATTTACTTCCATGTGGGAAAAATGGGTCACCATTCCTTTCTTTTGAATCTAGAGCAAAGGTCAGCTGAAACCAGTTAGCATATTTAGTACTCAGTATCTGCCGAGAATGAGTGTTACATCAACAATTTGTGGTGATGGTGAGCAAGCCCAGGAAGTTCCTTACAGATAGGGAGGGCAAGTGCTTTCCAATTCCAGGCTCGGTGATTCTGCAATACATGCTGGTAAGAACATTTGACTCATCCTGGAACGGGATAAAGAAACACAGAAGACCAAATAATGAAGAAGGACTAGAAAACATTTTTGTACGTACTTCATATGTGAAGCTACTGCTCTGGGGGGAGATCCATCCAGTGAAAGCACGGGCCTGTAAATGCTAAAGAAGCAGTGGCCGAGGAGGATGAGGAGATGGGGAACTGGGGAAGTGGGGAGGAGGGATGGAGAAGGGAAACAGGAGAGAAAAGAAAGAGAGGGGAGACGAAAAATGGAAGAACGAGAAGAGATTAAATAATGGTTGAATATGGAACTCACATTGTTAGAGAGTCTTAGAAGATCTCCCTCCAGGGCTGAGGTGGTCAGAAAAACCAACGTCAGCCTGGAATGGCGGGGCGATCACTAAGCTCAGGCCAGGAGCCACAGCTCCACCACTGCTGTAACTCGCTGTACACAAGTTTCCAGCTACTGATGACTACCTTTTCTCACCAATGAAATGTGACAAATTCCCTCCTCACCCACCTCTGAGGCCTGTTGGAAGGCTCAAAACAAGAAGAATGCAAATGAGCTGTGATAGCTATAAAATATTCCACATGTGGAGTGTGAAAGGTGGATGGAGTGGAAGATGGTGAATTATTTCTTATTCCTTGGCTTAAGTCTCAGCTCTTTGTAAGTGTTCATGTTCTTGGTGGCTATGTATTCAGACTAAAATAAAATCACCTTCAATGCTTTGCCCACCAACAGTAGGAGCCCCAGCATCTCTGGCAATATATCAGAAGATTCTTAGGGTGGTTCTATTTGTCCCAGTTCCCTCTAGCTCCAATTTCCCATTCTTCCTGAATTCTTAACCCTGCTCCAGTTTCATCTTCTGCAGGTGTCGGAATTTCTCGGCCCATCACTGGAGCCTGCCTTAGTTTTTGCACGTTCCCCGCAGTACTACGGACACTAGCCTTGGCAGGTAGAGACTTTCCATGGGAATTTGAAGGTATAGGGTGGGGTTACACTGCATCACAACAACCAACCTAAAATTAAATGCCAGTGACTCCTTTTTTAACACCCCTTGCTTGTTAAAAACTCCTCACTGCCATCTCTTTGCAAAGAGCCCCAACCCACTGCCACCCAGATTGAATTCGTTTTCCTTCTCTTGTATCCCATCAAGCATCAGCCCCTCCACTTCTGTCACTCTTCTCCCTGCCCCTCTTGTTTGGTTCTGGCCTAGGGGAATCACATCTCCTGGGGAATTTTTTTTTAGATACCCATGCATAGACCAATCACATCAGAGGCTCTAAAGGTGGGGTACATGCATGCATATTTTTTTCAAAGCTCAGATGATTCTAATGCACAGCCAAGATTGGAAGCCATATCCAGTCTAGCTCAGTTAAGCCATGTCCTGGGGGGAAGCTCACCTTCCACACTCCAAAAAGTAATCAAAGTATTTAGCAGAACAAAAGACAATTCTCTCCCTCAGAGAATTGATGCCAGTTTTTTTTTTAAACTGAACATTACTTTCCCTGCCACAGTGTTATCTTAAGCAATTTGCCAATGATCCACACTTTATGATCCAGAGGTCAGGATCATTCTCCAATGTGAGCATTTCTTGGTGAATCCCTTGCTCTCCCGCCCTGGCTCATTTTCCTAGGTCACAGAGTAACAGCGTGGTCAGGGAAGAAACCAAGGAATCCACAAAGAGGAACGTGGTGTCTTTGTTGAGAGATTTTATGGCAGTTAGAAATCCAAACCGAACATTAGTTTGGAATAATGTTGACAGAAACATCCACAGCTGTGATGAAAACAAAACAAAGCTAAAAAGCAGCTCCATGGTGGTGGTGGAGTCTTGTTTTAAGAGTAGATAGAGTTATTTTTCTGAATATTTCTTTAAATTTCCAAATACATATGAGTTCCATCTTATTTTGTATCTAACCACTTATGTCATCAGCCTAATGTTGTATGTCCTTAGCAAGCCTCTCAACTTTTCTGAACTTATCTAAAATCAGAGGATTGGGCCTGGTGAGCTCTAAAGCTGTTACTGATTTCCTATGAGTGTATAATATCCCACCCCCTCCAACACACACACACCATTTTGTTTATTGATTTATAGTCTATGGGATGATGTTGCATATACGTCCTCTCCTTTGTCATCCTAACAGCCCTGGGAAGACGGTAAGCAGGGAAGGGATTATTATCCATTTTTCTAGCAAAGAAATCTCACATTCAGAGAGCACAGTGACTGGCCCAAGTACACATTGCCAGGACATGACAGAGCCATTGCTTTGAACACAGTCCTCTTACTCTGATTTAGGAACCCTTTCTACCTGTCATGCCTCATCTCTGCTGTCACCTTGCTACCACTGTCTCTCCTCATAAGCATATGCGTGCATGCGCGCATATGCACAAATGCACACACACGCACACACCCCTAACTCGCAGAGAGGCTACATTCCCCGTAAACAATGCCACTTGACAAGGATTGATCAAGAAAGAATGTTAGATGCCCAGGAACATCCATACCTTCTGTTTCCTGGGTGGAAGACAGAACGCAAGCCTGGCAACTATGACCCACTCGCAGACCTTTCTCCCCATTTCCCCTTCCATCCTGCTGTGCCCTCATGGACTCACCCCAGAGACTGCATATCTGCTCTCAGGACAGGTGCTGATGTCAGGCCCTGCCATAGTCTGAACAAGTCTATGTCACCTGCCCCTGGGGGAAAGCATTTTAGACTCTTTCTTTATTGGGGAAAGAAAGAGTAATTCATAACCTGATAGGATTAGGCCTAGTGCAGAGCTGCTAGAATGTTCACTAACTGTTGGGTTTCTGGATCTTGGAGCTAGAGGGCTTGGTGGAGGGCTAGCTTATCTCCCTGGCTTAGGAGAGTTCAGACCTGTCACAAGGCAGCAGCAACAGGAGAGACTGTGGGAGGCTGAGCCCTGCTGGAGCCCTCCCATTATGTGAGTCAGGCCCTGTGTCCTTCTATAGGGTCTTTCTGTGCTTGCCTGGGAGCAGAGCAATCCAGTCCCACCCACAAGGAAAACTGAGCCCTGCTGTCTTTGAAGCTCAGAGCTGGTGTAATGAGATTAAGAGTTCGTGGGAATTCCAGACTAAGCAGGTGACTTTGTGGTGCCAGCCTTGGACAGTAGGATGTTTGTGATTTTGAGTTACTTCTATAAATCTCTTCAAGCTCAAGGCTGTGCAGAAAACCTTGGGTGAGAGAGAGAAGGAGGATGAGTTGTGAGAGCGGGTGGATGCCCTTAAAATGCCACTAGGAAACCGCTGTGTGCGTGTCTATTTCACCACCGATTGCTGGGAACCAAAATAAAATCTCCTTTCTTGCTCCCCTCCGCATCCTTCCCCTGTGCTGTTCTCTGAGACCCAGGCTTGGGGACTGAACACATATGGGTCTAGTTGGTGGATGCTGTTGTTCTCCGAGGCTGTAAATTCAGACGGCCACAAATCAGCTTCAGCGCAACTTCAGCACCAGACACGCAGGCGTTCACATTAAAGTCCTGGTGTCCAGGCTGAAATATGGCTGCACATGTTCCCTTCTGCACTGCCGGCCTGCTGGAGATGCCACCCTGTCACAGATGGTTTATGGAGGAGGGCAGAGAGGATGGAGCACAGTGGCCAGCTACCACCCCAGCCAAGGCGCCTGCCAGCTTTGATCTCCTGCTGGTCAGCCCCACGTCATCATAGATGGTGAGCGATTCCTGACCACGTCATTGTTCGTGCTGAATGTCGTCTTCCCCAAGTAACTCTTTGTGACATCTCACTGTCACCAGCTAAATACAGAGCATTCCAGGTCCTTTGCTTTCCCGGGTGCTGACAGCTGACACAGAGCCTGCCCATCCCTTTGCATGAAAATGCTCCTTCTTGGAGGCCCTACTGGAAGAATCTGAGCTTGGTACAGGCAGGACATTATCACAAAGCAAGTTTGAAACACTGAGTTTCCTGAGTCCCAGGACATACCTGGCCTTGTAGATCAAGAACAAATATACACGTGTCTCAAAAGTGGTTTGTCCCATCATCTTGCCTTCCTGACCCCAAGAGAAGTCCACAGGCTGAGGCAGCGTGGCTGGGCCTCACTGAGGCCAAGCCCAGAGCATGAGCATGGAGTTCTCCCACCGCCTGAGGCCTCAGAGGAAACCTGAAGCTAGCAGGGCTCCTTCCCTGACCCCTCCAGTGATTCTGCATGGGCGGCTGAAGTCAAAAGACTGATAGGTATCACCTTTGCCCAGTTCCCTTTCAGGCTGGCAATCTGGAGAAGAAAGCTGGGGGGTATTTCAAGTAGTCTCATTACCACTCCGTCACCCCCACATTCATTCCCTGGCATTCACTGAGTGCTCACGTGGTGTTAAGCGCCGTTCTAGACACCACAGGGATATTAAAAAGATCTGAATTTTTGCCCTCAAGGAACTTTGGTCTTGCAAAAAGGTGAGGTGTCCGTAGAGAGCCCAAGGCTCCAACGCTATACAGCAGCTGCACAGTCAAGACAATGGGAGCTCTAAGGAGAAATGGACCCGACCTGGGAGAGTCAGCAAAGGCCTCCTGAAGATGCTGGTCTTCATCTGGGAGCCTGGTAAGTGGGCTGAATTCTGTCCCCTCAACAGATATGTTGGAGTCCTGGCCCCTAGTACCTCAGGGTGGGACCAAATTTGGAAAGAAGATGGTTGCAGGTGTAACTAGCTAGGATGAGGCCATGCTGCAGGAGGAGGTCCTCCATCCAATATCACTGGTGTCCTCATAGAGAAGACACACAGAGAGATGAGAGCCATGTGAAGACAGTGGCCATGGAAAATGGTGGTGGAGACTGGAGTGAGGCATCCACAAGCCCAGGCATGCCCAGGCGAGAGGCATGGGGCACTTTTTCCCTCAGAGTGCCCAGAATGAATCAACCCTGCCTACTGCCTACACCCTGGTTTCAAACTTTTAGACTCCAAAACTATGACAGAATAAATTTCTGTTGTTTTAAGTCCAGTGCTTAAAAGTAACGTTGTACTTTGTTACTGCA
Organism: Homo sapiens; assembly: GCF_000001405.40. Classification (NCBI taxonomy): domain Eukaryota; kingdom Metazoa; phylum Chordata; class Mammalia; order Primates; family Hominidae; genus Homo; species Homo sapiens. The sequence continues at coordinate 19,655,034 of NC_000002.12, forward strand.
ACCTTTGGAGACAAATATAGGGTTAAGTCCAAAACAAGAAGCAGGACAGGAGGGAGTCCCAGGAGCCCAGGGGTGGCAGTGAGTATTTGAGTGTCGCACAGCAAGAACCCAACCAACTGCAACAAAGGATTTCACAAGAGAAATTAGAGAAAACAAACCTGACCTCCTTTCCCCAGAGTTCCTGTGGGTGCCTCCTTGTCTTTAGGGAGTCATCCCACCCCTCCGCCCATATGGTGGGAAAAGGAGCCAGGCATGAGGCTTTATCACCTCTCCTCTGGCTTCATCACTTCTCCCTGATGCAGGGATGGGTAAGGAGTGGGCATGTAACCCAAGCAGCATGGCCACCCTACTCTACCTTCTTGGCCACAGCAATTGGTCCATGATGGACACTGCCCCCAGGAAACCCCATTCAAGACTTCTTATTTTGATTATTATTAAAACTGGTAGAAAAGAACTTTTTTCTGTCTGGTCTCAGGCCTGTGAAACATGAACTGGAAGCTGCCCGCAGCCATGTCCCCTTAATATGAATAAAAAAGAAGAGATAGAATGACCTTGTATCATTCAAGCCCCTAGTTCTGGTCACTGAGGTTCCTGGAAATGCCACCTGAATTTTTGCCTTGCTCCTTTCCAATTTTTCCATTGATTCTAGAAACTATCCCAGTAGCCTTCCCCCCTCACACAAAAACAAAAACAAATATAATTTTGTTTAAACTAACTCAAATAGATTTTGGCTACTTGCTATCAAAGGAGCCTCAACCAGGACATCATAGTAGAAAGCACATTGCCTACATCTCAAGGAGCTTTGGACACCAGGCAGCACAGAGAGAGCCTACAAGCACACGAGGCAACAGAGAAATGGGGGCTGCACTTCATCCTTTTTTCAGGCACCCACTCCTGTGATCATTTCATTAATCCATTCATGAGAGAGGAGCACGCATGGCCTAATTACCTCTTAAAGGCACCATCTACTATAATAGCAATTAAATTTCAACATGAGTTTTGAAGGGGATATTCAAACCATAGCATTCTGCCCTTGGCCCCTAAAACTCATGTCCTTCTCACACACAAAACACATTCATTCCGTCTCAATAGCCCAAAAGTCTTAACTTGCTCCAGCATAAATTCAAAAGTCCAAAGTCTCATCTAAATCAGACATGGATGGCTGAGCCCCAAAGCACAATTCATCCTGAGGCAAACTCCCTCCAGCTGTAAGCCTGTGAAATCAAAACAGGTTACCTACTTCCAAAATGCAATGGTGAGACAGGCATAGAATAGACATTTCTACAGCAAAAAGGGCCAACAAGAAAAAGGAAGGGAGTAAAAGGCCTCAAGTAAGTCCAAAACCCAATAGGGAAAACAACATTAAGTCTTTTTTTTTTTTTTTTTTTTTTGAGAAAGAGTCTCACTCTGTTGCTCTGTCACCCAGGCTGGAGTGCAGTGGCATGATTCAGCTCACTCAACGTCTGCCTCTCAGGTTCAAGCGATTCTCCAGTCTCAGCTGTGACTTACAGGTGTGCGCCACGACGCCTAGCTAATTTTTGTATTTTTTCAGTAGAGACAGGGTTTCACCATGTTGGCTGATCTCAAATTCCTGACCTTAGATGATCCACCCGCCCGGCCTCCCAAAGTGTTGGGATTACAGGCGTGAACCACCACGCCCCATAAAACAGTAAGTCTTAAAGCTAGAGAATAATCTCCTTTGATTCTACATTCTGCTTCCTGGCCACACTACTGTGGGAATTGGGCCCCCAAGGTCTCAGACAACCCCACTCCTATGGCTTTGCTGGGCTTAGCCTTCCCAGCAGCTCTCAAGGGTTGGAGTCTTACACCTGCAGATTTCCCAGGCTGGAGTTGCATACTAGTGACTCTGAAGTCCTGAGGTCTCTGAGGTGGCCTTGCTGTCTGGGCTCCACTAGGTGTTTCCCTGATGGAGATGCTATGTAGTAGCTCTACCCCTGCAGTAGGTTTCTGCCTGGGCCCCCAGGCCATCTGCAACATCTCTCCACAAAATCTGAAAGATGCCATTCTCCACAGCTCTGGCATTTTGCATAACTACAGAATTAGCACCAAACGGACACTGTTAAGGCTTCTAGCATGTACTTTTCAGAGTGGCAGGTCAAGACACACAAGAACCCAATTGAGTCATGGCTAGGGCAGAGAGGAGTGCTGTACCAGAATGCAGGGCACAGAAACCTGAGATGGCTCTGAGCAGTGAGCCCATGAGAGGCACCCTGGGCCTATGCCCCGAAATCATTCTGCCCTCTTAGAGCTCTAAGTCTGTGATGGAAGTGGGCAGCCTCAAAGATTTTTGATGGCCTTCAGAGTCTTTCTTCCACTGTCTTGATGAATACTACCTAGCTCCTTTTATCCTTGATAATCTCTTTATCAAAAATGGCTTGGCCACATCCTTAGTATTCTCTCCCAAATATGTTTTTTTACTCTTTACATGGACAGACTATAAACTTTCCAAATATTTCTATTCTGCTTTACTTTTCATTATAAATTTTGTCTTTAAGTCATCTCTTTGCTCTTGCACCTTACCGTATGCAGTTACAAGTAACCACACAGCAGCCTCAATTCTTTGTTGCTTAAATATTTCTTCTGCCAGATATCCTAGTTCTACTTCCCATAAAGCCCTAGGACACAGACACAATTCCACCAAGTTTTTGCAACTACATAAAAAGGATAAACTTTACTTTCATTTCCAATACTTTGTTCTTCATTTACATCTAAGACTTCATCAGAAGGGCCTTGAGTATCCATACCTCTACTAACATTCTGGTCATGACCACTTAAGTAATCTCTAAGAAGGTTCAGATTTCCCATGCAGCTCTCCTCTTCTGACCCTTCACCAAAAACACCCTTAATGCTCTGTTTATGGCAATACAGGCTTTTCTTAGCATTCTTCTTCAAACTCTTCCAGTCTGTACTTATTACTGAGTTCCAAAATGGCTTCCACATTTTCAGGTATTTTTGAGTAGCAACAGCTCCACTTCTTGGTACCAATCTTCTGTCTTAGTCTATTTTCTGCTGCAATAACAGAATACCACAGACTAGATAATTTAATAAAAATGGAAGCTTATTTGGCTCAGGGTTGTGGAGACTGGGAATTCCAAGAACATGGTGCTGGCATCTGGTGAGGGTCATCCCATGGCAGAAGCATAAGGCAGAAGCAAGAACGCAAGAGAGAGAGAGAAATGGGAACTGAACTTCACCCTTTTATCAGGAACCCACTCCCACAATAACTAACCTATTCCCACAATAACAGCATTGATCCATTCATGAGGGCCATGGCCTAATCATGTCTTAAAGGTCTTATATTGTAATACTGTTACAATGGCCATTAAGTTTAAAAATTGTTTTTGGTGTTTTTGGAGGGGACATTGAAACCACAGCAACAACCTTCTGAGAAGCAGCAGCACAGAAGATATTATTCTCAGTAAAATCCTTCATTTCCCCAAAGATTAAGAGCCCTTGCTATAAGCAATGAGGAGCCCTTACAAAGATAAGAACCACAGAAAGTGTCATCCTTCACTGACAATAAGTGAGCACCCTCAGATACCCAGTCATTTAGTCAACAATCCCATAGTCAACCCCATAGTCAAGAGCTGTTAGGAGTGGGAAGATAGACATAATAGAATTTTATCCTCCAGAGGTTGCTGTCAGCTAGAGGTGGTGATAGGCATACACATAATCTTGGTCAAAAGTCATACCAAGAAAGAAGGGTAAATACTGCTTTGGCAGCTCAGGAGCTAATGCTTAGAAGTTTTCCTTCCTCCTTAATCAAGCAGTTGTGCTGCAGTAAATAGAGCCCTGGACAGATTTTTCCGTTATGAGTTGACCTCAGGTAAGTTACTCCATTTCTCAGAATCTCAATGTCTTCATTTTTTAAATGGATATAAGAATCCTGCTAGGCTACCTCAAAGGATTGTTGCAAGGTTCTAACAAGAGAGAAAATATCTATTAAATTGTTTAGAACCTGAAAACCCTTAGGCAAAATGCACTCCACAGTCTCTCTTTAGGAGAATCCAGTCTTTAAACCTAGCTTCCTGCCACTCAAAGTGTGACCCATAGTCTATGCTGATTTCCAGATCTCAAACTCTATCTCAAAAGTTGGAAATCCCAATTTGCAAGATCCTCCAGGTATGCAAATTAAAGTTTGTACGTGTATGCAAGTTAAAGTTTGGCAGCACTCATCTGGGCTGTTCTTAGCATAATGTTATTATAATCTGACAGAGAAGAAAATCGACTTTAGGGCATAGCTGATGATAAGGGAACAAAAGCAGGGACCAGAGTTGCCCAGGTATGTTTTGGGCTTGCTGCCACTCAAATCAAGCTGGGCCTCCTCAGAACAGAGGATGTGCACAGGGACATTAGCTGCCTGGAGCACTAGATGCAGGAGCCACAGTCTGGGAGACAAATCTAGAACCAGTCTTTGGTGCACAGAAACCTTGGTCCTGCTGGATGCTGCCGCTGCTGCAACATGGACATATGGTCTCCTTATTTCTCAGGTCAGAGTAACACCAGCATAGTTGCATATATCAGCACACTCACAGGGGATTAGCAAACATCTGGAGAGCACAGTCCCCTGTATTTTGCTAGTTTTAGGAGCAAGGAGCACAAGGGGGTTCTCAGAGTGCCTGTGTACAAGCCCAGCCCACCAAAGTGTCAGTGGGGTGGGGCAGTTCCTGGCTGTCAGTAGCCCCATCACTGGCTTCCAAGTTACCATAGCCAACAAATAAACAACAGAGTTGAGAGTCTAGGGCAGCAAGGTCCAGGCGATGCACCATAGAAATCAGGATCTGTCAGGTAGCAACAGCAGTTAGGCCAAAAGGATCCCCCTGGTTCAGTTAGTTTTAGAAACACCACGTTGAACAATGTTAAACTTGTTCCTTTACAGGAGACCAATGCAAGTGTACATCACGAATCTTGAAAAGGAACATATGTAGGCTTTATTTTCTGAGCAGTTTTGATCACAGAACTCTTCTTATCCTACTTTAGATAGAAAGTCTTCAGAGCAGACTCTGAGAAACACTAGCAAAGATGGGAGGCAAGAGAGATCCCTTCAGGGAAGGAAGATGGCCCGTGAATGTCTATAGCAGGAGTTCTAAGGGCTTTTTTGTTTAGGGTAATCAAGCAATCAAAGCATATAGATGTTTCCATCAGACATGCCTGCTGTAGTTTGAAGGTTTGTCCCCCTCCAAATCTCATATTGAAATTTGATCCCCAATGTTAAAAATGAGACCAATGGGAGGTGCTTGGATCATGGGGATGGAGCCATAATGAATAGATTAATTCACTCCCTGGAGGAAGGATGAGCAAGGTTTTCACTCTATTAGTTCCCAAAAGAGCTGATCGTTTCAGAGAGCCTGGCACCTCCCCTGTCTCTCTCTTGCTTCCTCTCTTGCCATGTGATCTCAGCACATCCTGGCTCCCCTTCACCCTCCACCATGAATGGAAGCTACTTAAGCTCCTCACCAGATGCCCAGTCTTAAACCTTCCAGCCAACAGAAATGTGAGTCGAATAAACCTCTTTTCTTTATAAATTATCTAGCCTCAGGTATTCCATTATAGCAACATCAAACAGGCTAAGACAAAGCCAAATGCATCAAGGGGTCCGCTATGATAATAACCACCATCAACATGTAATGAACACTCACTGTGAGGTAGGAGGTGCATTAGGAGGCGCATTAGGAGGCACATTAGGAGTGGGGCTTTATGCACATTGTCTCGCTGAATACTCTGAACTACTATTTAAGGAAGCTACTACAATTCTCATCCTCATTTTCAGATGATGAAACTAAGGCTTTAAAAAGTCAAATAAGTTGCCTTAAGTCTTACAGCTAGTTAGTGGTACTAGTTAGTGGTAAAGCTGAATTCCAAACTAGATCTGACTTCATACGCCTGTTAAAATGCCATAAAAATTCCTTAGTCCTTGGGACACAGGAAATATTATGCCCCAGGAAAGACTAGTTGCTTAGCTCGTAGGGTCACCTTTGGGGCAGGGAGTTATTTCTGGTGGCTCTGGACAGGACACATGGAGATCAAAGCCCCAGCTGATGTGCAGGGTTCACCGCTCCTTGGTTTTGTGTTTTAGGTTTATCAACCTCATCTTGTCACCATATTTTCATATGGTGACTTCATCAAACTGACCATATGGTGAATGTAAAGACCAGGAAATTCAGGAACACTAGTCATAGAGCTTGTGTCAGTTTGCTGGCATTAATCTCCATCCCTCTACCTCTGTAATTAGCTATTAGTTGGGTGAAATGAGTAACTCCTGTGCCTCACACATCCGTCAAGGCACTATTTTTATATTTACCAATTACAAACTGGAAAATAGTTTGTCACTCTCAATCAATAAACCTGGTATTTTGCCAGAAAACTACTAAAGCGTTTTTCTCTGTGCAAAAAAAAAGAAAAGAAAAACTTCCAAAGACTTGCCTCAAGCAAACAAACAGGCCACCCACTTTGTCATGAATGAATCCATGGCTTCCATGGGAACTTTTCCTTCTGAGTATAAGAATCGCCTTTCCATATGCCATCTTCATTTCTAGTAGAAGAAGAAAGAAAAAAAAAGAAACCCTGAAGTCAGAATATTTCAGATGCAAGAGAGTATTAAAAAAAAAAAGAAAAGAAAACCATCTGTGAGCAGGCAACAAGTTTTCCTGCCCTGGTTCTGCTACTAACAAGTTGGCGACATCTCCCCTAATAACTCCCCACTTTCTCACCTATAAAATGAGGGGTTGTGGCCGAGTGCGGTGGCTCATGCCTGTAATCTCAGCACTTTGGGAGGCCGAGGCGGGCAGATCACCTGAGGTTGGGAGCTTGAGATCAGCCTGACCAACATGGAGAAACCCCTTCTCTACTAACAATACAAAAATTAGCTGGACATGGTGGTGCATGCCTGTAATCCCAGCTACTTGGGAGGCTAAGGCACGAGAATCACTTGAACCTGGGAGGCGGAGGTTGCAGTGAGCCAAGATGGTGCCACTGCACTCCAGCCTGGGCGAGAAGAGCAAAACTCTGTCTCAAAAAAAAAAAAGAGGGGTTGTGTCACTAATACCTCAGACCTCCAGCTCATGGATTCCATGGTTGGTGGACCATATGATGACATTTTTACACCAGCCTCAGTGCAGAATACTAGGCAACACAGATCCCCCTGCTTCACCCCAGGGTAATGTCACAGTTTTGATCAGAAGAATCGCAAAACAAGAAGCTTTAACCTAAACCATTTCAGACAGATGGGACTCCAGCCTCCTTTTCAAGTTATTTTAAAAGGGTATCCCAAATACTACACAATAGTCTTAGTGTCTAAATAGCATTCATGGTCTGCAAGTTCCTCTTTGTCTGTGGTCTAAATTTTTCTACTAAAGTAAAAAATTAAGAACAGCTTTCTATTATATTGTCGGTCATGAAATTATTTATGTTTGGTTATAGTTAATAAATTGCTTTCCAATCTGTTACTGTCTTATTTCATTTTTATTATTAATTTTAAAATTATTAATTATTTTAAACATGGACAAAAGTGTCTTAGTCCACTCAGGCTGCTATAACAAAATACTATAAACAGAGTAGCTTATCAACAACTGAGTACCATACCATAAACTGAGTAGCTTATAAGCAAATTTATTTCTCACAGTTCTGGGGGCTAGGAAGTCCAAGATCAAGGTACCAGCACATTTGGTGTCTGGTGAGAGGTCTCTTTCTGGTTCACAGATGGTGGCTTCTAGCTGTGTCCTCACATGATGGAAGGGGCAAGGCAACTCTCTGGGGCCTCTTTTATAAGGACACTAATTCCATTCACAAGGGATCTGATTTTATGACCTAATCACTTCCCAAAAGCCCTATCTCCTAATACCAACTGATTGGTGATTAGGTTTCAATATATGAATTTTGGGGTGACACTAACATTCAGACTATAGCAAAAAGTGTTGGAAATAATGTAGCAGAGACCTGTATACCCACTTCCCAGATTTCATACATATTCGTATTTTTTCAGTTTTTGGTAAATTAAAAAAGAGCAATTGTTTTTAAAAGATATAAAACACTACAAATATAGTTAGCAACCTCCCAACTCCTAATCCTCTCCCTTTCTTCAACTGCAAAGGCAACCACTATTAGAAATTGTTCTGTGTGCCTCTCAGGCAGATTTTTATACGTTTACCACATATGTATACACACAGTAATATAAAGCACTGTTTAGAAATTTTAAATGGATAGAAATCGTACCATATTGAATACATCATTTTAAAAATTGTGTTTTTTCTCAATGAATGTTCTTAAGATTCATCAGTATAGAATGTATTTTTATATAATTAAGTTGATCCCAAGGTTTTTGCTATTATAGGCAATGTTATTACAGACTAGGAACATACTTGTTAATGTACCTTTTACAAATATAGGACATTTCTCTAAGACATACACCTAGAAGTACTTGCACCAAGGTACACTTTTACCAGCACTGTATAATTTCCTCATTTTCTTTCCTTTTTTTTTTTTTTTGGACAGAGTTTTGCTCTTGTTGCCCAGGCTGGAGTGCAATGGCGCAATCTCAGCTCACTACAACCACCGCCTATCAGGTTCAAGCAATTCTCCTGCCTCAGCCTCCCCAGTAGCTGGGATTGCAGGCATGCCACCACACCCGGCTAATTTTTGTATTTTTAGCAGAGACAGGGTTTCACCATGTTGGCCAAGCTGGTCTCAAACTCCTGACCTCAGGTGATCCACCCACCTCAGCCTCCCAAAGTGCTGGGATTACAGGTGTGAGCCACTGCCCCCTGCCAATTTCCTCATTTTCTACATCTTTATTTGTAACACTTGGTTGTGTCAGACTTTTCCATTTTTGCCAAATGGATGAGTGTTAAATGGCATTTATTGTTTTCCTTCATTCTCATGAGTTTGAGCATCTTCTTGTATTTTTACTGGACAGTAATGTTTTCTGTGAGTTGCCAAACAAAATTAGTTGATTATTTGTATTCAGCTACTTTTCTCACTCTTGAGCTACTGTTCTTGCCGTTACTGATTTGCAGGAACTTTCTAATATGTTTCAGATACTAGTCCTTTGTTAGCATATGTGGTGAAAACATCTCCCATTCAATAGCTTGTCTTTCCCTTTGTCTATGGTTTCTTTTATCATGCAGAAGTTTGTAATTTTAATATAGGCAAATGTATCAATTACTTGCTTTATGATTTGCTTTCTCTGTGTTTTGTTCAAGTATTCCATCCCTTTCCTGGGGTCATAAGTACATCCTCCTAGCCAATCTCACATAGACTATATGGTCTCAGTGTCCACCATCTTTCCTCTTCAGTTCTTTTAAAAAAATCACAAAGATTATTTGGACTATTACAAATTAATGTATGATTATTCCAAAACACCTGGGAAAAGCAGAAAAAACAAATCAGTACATTATCCTCTAAACTTCGTTTTTCCCATCTGTAAGATAAGAACAACAACAATTACTGCATTTGGGTTGTTTGCATCCCAATTATATCAAAATTCTCATGTCAGGCCTCTAGCTGGCAAAAAAAAAAAATGTATATATATTTTCTTAAATAGTCCTGTGTGCCCCTGCACTATTATATACCAGTGTGCAAAAAATCCTGGGGAAATGAAGGAGCAGAGCTATGGACATTGACTTACTGACTCAAGCCTGAGTGATGGGCAGGATCCCAGCAAGACGAATTCCATGAAGTCAGTAAAGCTGCTACCAAACCATAGCAACACCCATTCTAGGTTGTGCTCCAGTAGTACCTGGACTTCTTCCTTTTATAACCACACACTATTCAGGCAGTGACTAAAAGGGCATGGAAACTACTTGGAGAACAAAAGCCACCAGCTGACCTCATCCTCAGTACTTCCCTGGTCAGAGGAGTTAATTAGCCAAAGGGAAAACAATCGACTTTTTTGGTATTATATAATTCCATTGTATTTTTGCCAGGTATCGGATTTCACCACCCACTACCATGGTGTCACGTCATGAAAGAACTTATTGTTAAACACACAGAACAAGGAGAGCTCATAACTTTGCAAGAAGTATAATTCCACATTTTTTGTCTCATTGCAATTGAAATCTTCAGGTCAATAGGTAATTACATTAACGCAACATGTCCTATTTCATATGAACACTGCTCACGTTGAGAGGGCCCTCGCCTGAAGAAAGACTATTTTTAGGAAGCTTGGCAAAGAAAATTGATGTTTTCAGCCCAAACATGCACTGCCAAATAACTAACTCCACCAAATTCCTTCTTACCAAAAAGGAAAAAAAGCAACAAAATAATAAAATCTTCCTTTTCACTATTTTGGGAATTATCTTCCCATGTCTAACTCCCTTCAGCTTTCAGAATCACCTTCACACAACTGTGAGCAAAGCTTCCTTGTAGGATTGTGAAATTTGAAAGACAAATGGGAGCTCATCTGATTAGAAACTCTCATCCTTCCATGCCTTGGAGGAATCACAGAACTTTTTTGTTTAAAGTGAAAATCTGATTAGAGAAGGACTGCATTTACCTTCAAGGACCCCAGAGCTATGGACTTTAGATGAAGGAAATCTCCAACTGTTCTCGGACACACTAAAAATCCTTTAAAACATAAAAAGTAAACGCTTCTATGCACCCTATATAGTTGCGCAAAAATAATCTTTATGATACTTTTAAAATAACTGAAGAGGAAAAATGGTGGACACTGAGACCATATAGTCTACGTGAGATTGGCTAGGAGAATGTACTTATGCCCCCAGGAAAAAGGACTACTTGTATATCATGTCCATAAAGATTATTTGGACTATTATGAAATTAATGTACCATTATTCCAAAAGATCCAGGAAAAGCAGAAAAACAAGTCAGTACATTATTAGACCACTTTAAAAATAATTATTATTACCCTTTCAGGAAACTATAGCACCTAGCACAGAAAGACATCGAGAGAGAGAAAACTAAAGTTTAGCGAGTGTCTACTCCAGCCTCTCCAAAATCCACAGTTTGCCTTTCAAGATTCTCCATAATTTGACCCTAGCCTATCTTTCCATACTTAAGCTGTACTCTATCCTATCTGATCTGTCTGGTCATCACTGGCCTTTTCTCTTTCTTATGCCTAGATGAATCTTACTGATCTTTTAAGTCCCAGATAAAGTCCCAGGTCATCTATTAATAGCAAACCATCCCTAACAACTTAGCTTCTTTGTTTGTCATCAGTATTTATTAACCACACCATCCCATCAACAATTACCTTGTATTATTAGTCTTCATGTATGCATTTCTGTTTTATATTCCCAACTAGACTTTAAACTTATCTTGAGGAAGACTAGGCCTGGCTCTTCTTCCCTCTATACTTCCTCAAGGGCACTATAGCATAATCTTCAAGAGAAGGGTTCTGTAGTTAGAAGGCCCATGTTCTAATTCTGGCTCGAAAGAAACAAAGTTGAGTTCCAAAGTCCTCAACATGTAAACACTTTGGAATCATATAAGGCAGAGTAAATCCTTCTTGCTCGATAGCTTCAAAGACACTGTTGTGGGCCTGGCGCAGTGGCTCACACCTATAATCCCAGCACTTTTGGAGACCAAGGTAGGCAGATCACCTGAGGTCAGGAGTTCAAGACTAGCTTGGCCAACATGGTGAAACCCCATTTCTACTGAAAATACAAAAATTACCTGGGCATGGTGACGGGCACCTGTAGTCCCAGCTTCTTGGGAGGCTGAGTCAGGAGTACCGCTTGAACCCGGGAGGTGGAGGTTGCAGGGAGCCGAGATCGCACCACTGCACTCCAGCCTGGGTGACAAAATGAGACTCTGTCTCAAAAAAAAAAAAAAAAAAAAAAAGAAAGCACTTGTGTTATTTGTGTTATTCTCCCTGTATCTGCTCAGTATAATAAGGGATGGTCTAGTGAGATTCCTGAGTGAGTATCCACAAAGAAGGTGGTCATGAGGTAGATTCTTAAAATATCCCTTATTTACAAAATTATTCTACATGAAAACAATTCCCTGAAGTTGCAAATAAATTGTTATGCATGATTGAAAGCAAACACCCAACCTTCAAACTTAAAACTGGAAAAGTGGTTCATATATTCACTCTCATAAGAGAAGCAGCAATTAACTTTTAAAAAAAATACCTATCCTGGTTTTTATCTGAAAACCAGACATTTGAAAACAGTCAATGACTTTTAGCTTTCCAGAGCATTTTGGCTTGATTACTCAACTTCAGGAAGCAAAGATTTAAAAAATCTTGCCATTCGTATATTTTAAGAGCCGCTGACACCTAATGGAAGGTTTTGAAAGAACATGTGGTTTCTGGGAAAGTGTGATACCAGTGGGCAGTTCTTCTCTCCAAAGACATTCTATCATTTCTATCCAAGAGAGTTGTCCTGGAAGCTGACCCCAAGGACGCAGTAGGGGTTCCAGAAAGCTCTGGTCTCAGGAGTCTGGAGATAAAGATGAATGGGACTGCAAGAATTAATATTTGTGTGGAATTTTTCTACCTTACATTGTTTTCCTAGTTGCTTAGAGGTGTCTTTTGCAGGCCTTGAATGGAGAGAAGATGCCTGTTTGGGGTGCCCCAGTCGAAAAGCCTGATTAGTAATGGCCGGAGCTGAGAACAGCTTTCCACAGGAAGTACGCTTTGCCTCAGCGTTGGAAATCAGTGTGGCGCCTGCTATAGCCAAGTGTCCCTGCAGGACCCCACTGGGAAATCACTTGAGTTTTACGAGGTTAGCTGCAGTTTTTGTGTAAACAACATAACGTTTTATGGTGGGAAACCTAGCCCTTTGCTTTTTATGTAAAAGCATCGATTAAGGCTTTTTTAATGTTTGAAATGTAAAGAAGTGTGAAAAACTAATGTTGTTTCAGAAATGGTCCAAGGAAAAAGATAATGCAGTAGCTACAAGTTTAATGACCTTTCTCATAAAATTATGTGGGGGATTTGTGATAAGCATGGTAATAAAAATGGTTTTGTTGCCTCTAATTCTCCCGGTTGTGGATTAAATGTTTTCTAATGGATAGTACCACTGCTGTCTATATTCATTATTTATTCCATCACTAATTTATTTCCAGAAGGAATAACAGTAAATTCAGATATTAATTAAAATATTTTAAATAGCAAGATTTCTTTTATTTTGTGATTTTTTTAAATGAGGATTTTTTTTAATTGGGTTGTTACCAAAATTACCTTTTGTAAAAGACAACTTAAGTAAAAACCAAATTCAAATGTCAGATACATGTTATTATACATTTATCAAAACCCATGAAATAAACAACACCAAAAGTGAACTTTCATGTAAACTACTGACTTTGAGTGATAATGATTTGTCAACGAAGGCTCATCAGTTGTAACAAATGTACCATTATGGTGACCCAAATTGATAGTGGGGAAGGATGTGTTTGCAGGACAGGAGGTTATGGGAGCTTTCTGCATTTTCTGCTCAATTTTGCTGCAAACTCAAAACTGCTCCAAAAAATGTAAGTCGATTTAAAACATTCATCACAGAAGGTAGTGCGTGTTAGTGCCGAGGGTTAATTTCGTTTTCTGGCTATCTGTGGTTGAAGCCTAAACTTCTGTTTATACCTTTGTGATGTGTTTCAAGTTTTTCTAAAATGCATTAGCCCTGGTGCTAGGCATGGTGGCTCCCACACATGAGTACAGGGGACTCATTTTCCCCAGAGTCCCACAAATAGGACTAGGGACAAAGAGGGAGATTGTCCTGACGATGATGCCCCCAAGGAGGCATACCCTGTATATTGCTTTCCAGACTAATCCTTTGGCACAGGTGTACTATGTTGCTTTTTCTTTTCTTTTCTTTTCTTTTTTCTTTTTTTTTTTTTTTGCCTTTTTCTTGTAGATGCTGTGGTTGGAGAAAAAAGGAGAAACCCCAGTTGACCTTTTCTGAGGGCTGCTGGTTCTTGAGTCTCTGGTAATTAAGTCCTGACCTTACCAAGGGTTTAGCTGCATGTGATAACATGTGACCATTATCAAACTGACCAGCTTTATCCTCAGGTTTTCATACAAGAAAACAATATTTCAAAGGTCAAAGCAATTACTGGGATTTTCAGAACACTTTTTATTTAAGGCTCATGAGCATGTTAGGGCAGAATGTGATTGTCTGCTGTAGTTTGGGCAGCACTGATTGGCAAAGGAAAGGATGGGCCAGGTGAATGGTGCCCTGCAGAGAGGACTCTTATATGAAGAAGATGCCTATTTCTTCCAAACCGGGCAGAGCAGATGGGAAATCTCTAGGAATAAGATGCAGCAGGATGGACGCAGAGAGGGACCCTGCTGTGGTCACTCAAGTCCTCAACACACTCTGGCATGCATCCTCCTTCCTCAAAGAGCACTCAGCGTTCGGCCCATGGTTAACAGAAACTTCCTGATGCATGCCTTTCCGTGACAAGATCAGGGGATATCAGGGTGATGGCAACACTGAAGGATGATGGGGCATCACATCGGTCTATCAGTATGGTTATTTGTGTCTAAGACGTTCATTCAGTGTGCCATGATCCAAGTTATGCTGGGAATACAAATTCAAATAGGACATGCAACCACGTTCAGTCAGTTTACAATCTCACTTTATACATCATCCGTCTTGAGAGAAGCAGAAAGAAAGCAGACATATCTTCACCAGGCTCAGTTCCCGTGTTCTGCCAGAACGCACAGCTGCCGCCCTGTCTGCCCTGTTGCTCTGCCTTTGACCTCAGGGCTGACCTGCAGAGACCACACTTATTAAAGGAGGCAGGTCATTTACTCCTGTTCTTGCCACATGTTGGCCTGTTATGGGCCGACACTGCTGAATTACATGTGGTGTTTTATGAGACGATCAAGTGTCAAGTAGCAATGGAGTGAAAGCTGCCATACAGATTCTGACACAGACCACAAAGCAGGGGTCCTCAGAGCCTTCCTGGTCCTAGTGACGCCACTGGCTGCTGCCCGGGGTGCCCTCATTCGTGGCCAAATGTAAGATCATTGTGTTTTTGCCATGGTCCCCCCAAAAACTTAAAACCTTAGCACAACAATTCAATTTCTATATCCTTCACTTTTTCTTTCATTAAAGGAAAATCACCTCCCTAGAAAAATAAAAACAAAAGAACTTAGATAGCATTTTTTAAATGAAAAGGGGAACATTTTTTTAAATGAAAGGGAGGCGATTTTTTAAAATGAAAGAGAGATGACAGAGATAGAGACAGGTTCCCTCTTACCTCTCAAGCTAAGAGTAAAATCTGGGACTTTCAAAAAGGTATGACTCTTAGAAACTGATTAATTTTTAGATCTTAAAAAGCCATACGGTCTCTTTAAAGAGCAATGAAAGCCTGATTCAAGTTGTTAAATTTTATGTTGTGTGTAATGTTGTAATTGATGTCAAACCTTTCACATTTTCTTACCACTGACATTGGACAGTCTACTCCACTCAAGGGCTCAGTTACCGAAGTTGAGATTAAGTAACCTAACCAGGAAATAAGGGCAGAATGGAATTTTATTACATGGAATTGAGAAGTACAAATGCAAAATAATTAAGTCTGAGCCAAATATAGCCATTCTCTCTCCCATCAGTTTATTTTGGTGGACAATTGGCTGTATTCGGTATTTCACTGAGCTGCATATAAAACTTTATTGCCCTTGTAAAGTGCATGCTGTGAATTCTGATGCTTCTGTGTGTTTGGGGGAACATAATTGTTCCCTTTGCAGAATAGCATGGCTTACCTAGGTCCTGTTACCAAAGTAGGCTTCCAGGACGCCTGCTGCTGAAAGTCCCAGTGCTGGGATGTGTATGAGGAGCTCAGATCAAAGCTAAAGAAAGAGATGTGTAACAATTGGGAAAATAGCCCCCCTGAACCTCAGAACACATTAAATGCAAAGAAAAAGACACAGGTCCTATTGGATATGGTCTCTGGCAAGTTACTGCTGGGTTAAGGCTTTTGCGTTTGTTGAGGGCTTACAATAAGTTAGTCCACACTGAGTGGCTCATCAGGTCTCAGTGATTGTGACGAATCCATTCTGTATTAGCATGTGGGGTCTTTTTCGAGGCAGTCTCTCCCCTTCCCTCCATCCTCAGAGACAGAGGCTGTTTGTATACTGTGAAGGCCTGCTTTACTGTGCATCTGAGACCATAGGAGCAATATGGAATTGACCTAATTAGGATTCTTTTCTGGGAAAAACAATATACAGCTACATACGGTTTCAGTCACATTCCAAGTGCTTTCCTATTCTTTCGACTCCAACAATATGGCAGCGTGTGATGGGTGGGAGGGAGACTGTGATCAGAGGCTGCTGCTTCAGGAACAGCCCAGATGGTGGAAGGTGAGGCTGGGGGAGGGTGGGTAGCTGCATTGATGATGTAGGCTTAGGCTGTGTACAGCTCTGGGACCACAGAGCCTCCAAGACTGAACCAGGACTTCTAGCCCAAGGCTAGAATATATAAGGAGGCCCATTTACCATCATAGTCAGCAGGCCACACGTTCAAGCTCCATGTGCATCCCCACAAACAGCCACCCCTTGAGCCCACCTGGGGCCTAGGGTTTCACATATCAGCAGCCAGGTCTGCCCTCCCAAGGAGAGGACCACACAGGCTCTGGAGGTGGACTCAAGGCCACTGGAGCAGAGAATTCCAATGTCTTAGGAACCCAAAGCATGTGAGGGTGGAGTGGGACCAGGTTTAGGATGAACACATTCCATCAACCTGAAAGACTCTTTGTCCTAGGAGTGAATGGTCGGACAAGGGTCCAAGTGGAGTCCTCTAAAATGCATTGCCTTGGACAGCGTAGTACTGGCTGGAGCTGCCTTGCTTTAGATCATGCAGGGCTTCTCCTAGGTCCCCTCTTCAAGGGAAATTAGACGTCCTGGCTTTGAGTCTTAGCTCTGTTCCTCTCTAGCTGGTTGCCTTGGGGAAGGCATTTAACCTCTCTGAGCCTACCTCCTTATATGCAGAGAGTATTTAACTGTCCATTATGGTGGATCTCAGAAAGCTCACAGGAGTGGAAGGACGTGGTGGGTCATAAAGGGCTCTTTATAAATGGGACGAGCCATGTGATGCTCCCTGCCCTAGTTGGAAGAAGGTAGGTTCTTGGGATAGATTAAGAATGAGTCACACAACTGTCCCTTTCTCACCTACACCCAGGCCACAGTGGGATGAGGAGGGAAGAAGCAATCTTAGTATTGTTACAACTGGAGCCATGGCTGCAAAAGTCCCAGGGAAACATTTTGAGCCTGTTTTCCTAGTATACGTCATCCCATCAACCTAACCCCCAGCAGAGATTCTCTCCGCCTCTGGGCTGGCCTCCATAAGAGCTGCAGGGCAATGAGTGCAGGGTTCCAGAGCCTGCACTTTGAATTTTCCAGCTGGGCACTGACTAGACACACTTCAGAAGCAGAGAGGTACTCAGGTCTAATCGATCCATCTGCAAACCTCTCTAAGGCAGCAAGACTGGCCATCGTTTTTTAAACCTTGATTGTCACCCCAAGTGAATTCTCTGCTACAGGAGACGATCTCCCCAGATAATCTGGCTAGGGCAACAGACAGTGGTCCCAGGGGGAGAAATAAGCCCTGCAGTACAGATCTGGAGCCCGTCAGCCCCCACAGGGGTGGAAGTACCAAGAATGGCTAACTACACACCCATGTCATCAAACATGGTTCTCAATGGACTGTTGAGGGCACTCAGTGGACACAGAGCCATTTATCAAGGTCAGAACCCAGGCCAAGAACGTGGGTACCTATGATAGGCATGGAGAGGTGAGAGAGTTCAGGAATTCCAGGAAGCTGTTTTGGGCATGGTGTAGAGCCAAGGGCAGTTTCTGACTGTCTAGACAGTCTTATGAGGAAACTGAGCAACAACAAGGCACAGTATGGCCCTGATATCTGGCCAGCAACTCCATCCTGGGGCATTGAATATAGGGCTGGGAGTGGAAGGGAGGGTCCCCTTTCTCCTTTTGATGAATCCCTCAGAGGTAATACATGGCCACGGAATTAGCAGACCCAGAACGGTGCTTTTTGTCTTGTTCTACTGCACCAGGGCCTCTTGTTTGTGAATTAGTTAACCTTCTGTGATCCTCCTAAGAATGTCACCATCTGAGTGTAGGTACGGGCCTTTTTATTCAGAACCTCATGGTAAGGAGAGGTAGCTTTGGAATGGGGTTTCTTAACTGTAGCACCACATTTGGGGCCAGATAATGCCGTTGTAGGGGCTGTCTTGTGCACTGTAGAACGTTTAGCAGCATCTCTGGCCTCTGCCAACTAGATGCCCACAACACGTCGCCCCTCCCTCCGCAATATTCTGACAACTAAAAGTGTCTCCAGACATTGCCAAATGTCCCCTGGGGAACAAAACGGCCCCTGGATGAGAGCCACTGCCTTAGACAAATACAGATAGAAACTGAGATGACAGAGCAAAAGGGGACTGCCGGCCTCAGGGCCCCTCTGACCGATGTAAGATTGCTCAGGCAAATTCTCACACCAGCGAGCTCTAAGGCCAAGGGAAAGGAGGGCAAAGGCCACCGGGGCTCATGCACTGACAACAACCTACACTAATGCTCCCTGAGGGCCGCATGCTCCCAGCAGTGTGCTGAGCTTCTTACATGAATCATCTCTTTGACTCCACAGGAACCAGTGAAGCAGCCACAAATGTCATCCTTAGCTTGTAGGCAGGGAACCTGCGACTTAATAAAGGACAAATGACTTACTTAAGATCAAACAGCTGGCTGGCACTAAGCCAAGATTTGAACTCAAGCCAACTCAGTCTGGACCTGCACTGTTTACATCAACCCAATGACAATCTTAGTATTAAAGACAGTGACAATCTCCCAGCTGCGGGCTTAGGGGAGACATTGGACAGAATGAAAAGTAACTCCATATAGGTGATTCTGTCTGATCCTCACAAACCCTCTGTATGGTAGCAAGGTGAGAGGGAGGTCTCCGGGGCAGAGAAAGCACAGCTCTTCCTGGCCTTCCCCAGCCCAAGTAGGGAAAATAGTCAAAATCCAAGTTTCACTCAGTAGGTCTCTTCCAAAGCCACAGCTTTATCTAAAAACCGCAGCCTGCTCAAAACACCTTTGCCTGAGTGCCTATACGTGAGATCCCAGGCTTACAGCCTTAAAGACAGAAAGAGCCTCTACCCCAAGCCTAACTCACCATCCTTCGACGCCTGCAGATTCCATGAAAAGAAAACAAATATTGAATGCACAACTTTTTTTTCTTCCTTTGAAAAACAAAATGTCAGCAGCTCAGCACCGGATCCCAGGAACGCTTCAATCACATTCCAGAATTTGTTCATCATGAGGGGTTCAGGGATGGAATTCATGGAGGAATGTTTTTTCCTTTCCCCTTGCTTAAAGGATCTGAAGAGTTATTAAAAACAAAAGACGACAGAATTTCAAAAGTACATTGACAGCATCCCTTTAAAAACACACCCAAGCCTGAGATGAATGCTACAATGACAAGATACTGTACTGATTAATTATTAAAAACACATTTTGTGTGGTTTGACAGCTATGCCAGAGCAGTCTGTCTCATAGTGATTAAACCTCCATAAATGTGGTTCCAATAATGAGCTGGTACTGCATTATCAGACAATGGCGGCCTGAGTAAATCTTAATTAGTTTTGTCTTTTGAGACCTTCATTTAAATTCAAAGTCATACAAATGTTGTTCCTGAACCGAGCGACCCTCCTACCCACTATGGGCTGACACCCCCAGCCCCATGACACTCAAAAGTTCCCGGACAGAGGAGCTGGCATAGAGGATAGCTCGGGGGCGTGGGGTAGGGGGGGTACAAAACGTGGAACTGGGGCACCCACAGCTTTTCTGGGAAGCTTGCATTCCAACAGACAGACACAGCTTTCTTCCAACTGCGAGGAAGGAGAGCCTCCCTAGGCCAACAGCTAGACATTTGGGTAAAAAAATTATTGCTGAAATGTGGAGCCCTGGGAACAACAACGACAACAACAACAAAACAAAACAAAACAAAACAAAACAAAAAACGTGGATTAAAAGGAGGGGGCTCCCTGTGAGCTTGAAGTGAGGAGTGAGACGGTGGGGGTTTGGAAGAAGTCTCTGGGCAGATGGATGAGCAGGCGATGGGGCCAGCCACCCAGACTGGAGGCTTTTCAGGGCAAACAAACCGGCCAGGGCACACAGCCTTGCTTCAAAAGGCCTACAATTACTCGTTTTATTGCTCAGAGTTACAAGATGATTGTATCTCAAAAGAAGGTGACAGCGAGTTAACAGATCTGTCCCTGAGGGTGCCTGGACCAGACCTAGAGACTCCCTTCTCCAAACAGAGATGCAGGCACAATTAGGTACTTTCAAAATGAGACAGTTCTCTGCTTTGGGAACCCAGTGGAAGGCCGGTCAACGCACTGCACATTTTGGTACTAATTAACTCCTAATTTGGGAAAGGGAAAAAAGGGGTGTGTCTCTTTCAAGAATTTCTCCCTCCGGAGATGGCATCTCTGAGCAGCAGCATTTGGCAGTAAAACACAACAAATGTCAGAGCAGAGTGGCTGCGGGGCTTGGGGATTTACGACTGGGTTCCGGAATGCTGTTAGATCCCTAGCCAGAGACTCTGATTTCAGATTGGGACAGATTTGGGTAATTAGGCAAAGTCAGCGAGCCCTGTCCCGGGAGGCAAGAAGCCTGGGACCCACCTCTGCCGCTAGCCTGTTGTATGAACCTGGGCAAGTTCCTTCCCTTCTCTGGCCTTCCATTCACCATCTATCAAAAATAAAAGCGTGGGATTCATGATCTCTAAGGATACTTCCAGCCCCAAAAGTCTATGATTCCAAGATTCTAAAAAGTAGCAGACATTTACCCTAATACATACACACTCCAAAATCAATGGGACGCAGAAGTCAGTGATAAGAGATGACCATTAGAGAGTAAGTGAATTAGAGGATCCAAGAAACAATCCCTGACCAAGTGACACTGCTTTTATCCTCACTGCATTTAGCATCGTCGTGAGTCATTCTTCCTCACCATAAGCCTTCCTTGGCGTGGAGCAGAGTCCACCATCTGTGCAGAATAGCCTAGGGCTCCTCACCACTTCTCAGCCCACGCAAAGATCATTCTCCAAGAGCATCTGTTCTTTGGAGAAGGCACCTGGAACCCTTCTATCTGATCATCTCTACCCTCAGTGGTGAAGTTCCAGTTCCCATTATGAGCAGCATGTCTTGCAGGGTCTAGAAGATGCAGCAAGTCTTGCTACCTTGCTTCAGGTTAGCACACTGGCAGGTTAGCATTGGCACGGCGCCCTGGTGCCCAGCACCAGCCAGCTAGCATTTGTGCCGCTTTACGACTGCCCTTGCCCCGAAGAAAGTCCAGGCCTGGCCATTTGCTCCAGAAGCTGCCACGAATTCAGAGGAAAGACTGCACTTCCACTAGGCGCCGACAACTGCAAGTTTCAATATGCTGAACTGGCTCGGGAAAAAAATGGCACTTCTTTCCCAGATATACAATTCAAGTTTTTCTACTCCTCCCCTTTCTTCTTTTTTCTAGAAAACAATACTTGTCTTTCCTATAACGGTTCTGTTCTCTGAGAGTTACGACACAAATCACTCCTCTGGCGTTTCTCAACCATGTGTTGTTGTTGTTGTTGTTATTATTATTATTATTATTATTATTATTATTATTATTATTATTTACTATCTCTGTCCCCCACAGTAGCAGGAAGCAAGTCTGCCTTGATTACTGCTCTCTCCTCCATCTCTAGTACAGCTTTGGGTTCATCATGTTGCTTAGGGAACACTGCAGATGAATTGTCAAGTTCCAGGCTCCAGGCTGTTGGTGCTAATGGAGCTCTGAGGAGTGAGAACAGAGGTCAAGGAAGCCATCCTGGGAGGTAGCCCGCAGTTGGATTTTAAAAACCTGCCACACTTGGAGGGGCGGAGAAGAGCTTCAGGTAATCTATGGCGTGCCCCCCAAATGCCTCTCTGATGAAGATGCTCCAGTGTTTGCCTGGCCCCTGGACAGTCAGTGGGAAGACGCCACCTACACGTGAGTTGGGGGAAGCACCAGGACACAGAGCCGGTCTCCCCAGCCAGCTAAAAGGTTTAGTCCTTCCTGTAACTGGCTGACAGATCTGCTCAGGGCCCTGGTTTCCCATTTCCACTAAAATCTTCCATGCACAATACCTTTTATCTCTCCTGGACACACCAGCTCACTCCTTGTTGAGTAGCTTTTTTCTCCCCAATCTTCTAAATAAAACCTGCAGGTCTTGCCAAATGTTTACTCTATCATGCAATATTTAGCAACATGAGGGCCACAAATGGATCACAAATTGAGGAAATATTATAAGTTTGCTTTCAAATTCTGGAAGTATTTTCCAAATCATGCCCTTCTCCTCTCTCTCTCTCTCTCTCTCTCTCTCTCACGTAGACACATCATCAACCCCCTGACAATTTTGGCAGGGCCATCCCCAGCTGCCCTGGTTATAACAGAAGGCTGAGCAAGCAGTGCTGAGGGCATGTGGCTTTGGGTGGAGACCCCCATCAAAAGCTTGATGACAGGTGTGTCACTGCCTGGCACCCCGAGGGAGTGGTGTGTGCAGTCGTGTGGAGAGTATGACATTGGGGGAACCTACCTGTGAGGTGTGTGCTGGCTGGCAGTTGAGAGGCAGTGACCCAGTGTAAGTGGGAGCATGGGTATGGTGTGGTGGGTATGGTGTGTGGGAGGACCCGTGCTATGGAGGGATGGGTGGTAAAGTGTGTGGTGTGTACTGTGGTGTATGTGTGTGACCATGCATGTGCATCAGGCCGGATGTGTTTGTGTGTGAATGGTGTAGTGAGTAACTGAGGCTTGTGTGTGGGGCGGGGAGGGGTATGGGGGCGAGTAAGGAGGGCACAAGGAAGGGAAAGTGTGCATCAGAAAGCAGCTCCAGGGCGGCCAGGTCTCGGCTCTGAGGCCATCTCCAGGAGCAGGATTGCTGCTTACTCTGGGGAAGCCCAGGACTCCTGCCGTTGGTGGAGCAGCCTCAACCCCAGCCTCGAGTCTACAGAACTGTGCCCTGTGGCTAAGGAAGCTCAGTGTCTGTTGCCAGATGCCTGTGCCCAAGGAGACTGAAGCAAAACAATGAGACAAAATGTTCTTGTTGCTTTTAGGCAGCAACGATTATTCTGGACCAAGGGCCTGGGTAAGACGCTGGAGTCCTTGGCCCAAGTGAGGTTTGTGGCTGAATCTTGTGTAGCTTCAGTGTCTAGGGTCACATACGCTCTCATAATGACCTCAGCCCAAGGGAGACATAGTCCACCTTCCCAACCAACTGACAGTCCTTTGCTGCTGCCCAGAGATGACGGCTCTGTGGCAGGCTGCCCAGGAGCCCATGCTAAGGTCAGTGCTTCCGTCAAGAGCTGTCCCGGAAGAGGTGACAGTCGAGCAAGGCCAGCTCCAATCATTTCAGTTCCTTCACACACAGACGACTCTTTTGGTCACTCCCCTGGTCTGTAAGATTTAAACGTCATGCCCGGCCTCCACGGCCCTCGTGTACCTTGTCCCACTCTCCCAGCTAACCTGTGTTCCCTCCATGTTCCCCCACTCCAGCTAACCTAAGGCCAGAGAGCAAACTCTGGGCTTGTTCCGGGCTCAAGATGGAGTTCAGACAGTCCTCACTCATGGTGCAGCCTGCGGGGGCCTCTGGAAACTAAGCCCAGAGTCTGTAGCTGAAGCTGAACTCGGATGGGCAGGATATGGAGCGTCATAAATGACTGCTGAAGTGACACTCAGTTTTGAACTCCAGATCTAATATTTTTAAATGTTCAGAAAAACTGTTTGTGATTGGCTTTGAGGAAAGAGGCATCCCTGTGCCTTCCTTTTCTCGTTTAAAACTCCAACATGACAAATTGCTTCAAACAGCTTACTAACCAAGATGGCTCCACATGGGAATTATGTGGAGGAAAAGGCCTCAGAAAAGTTACTGCCAAGGGCAAATAACACAGAACACTTACCACAGCCACAGGCCAGGTACTGTGGGGGTTAGAAGACAGGTGGCAGCCAGTGAGGGGTAAAGGGGTAAATGGCAGGGCACAGTTCTGCATGGAGTGAATTTAATGCACACAGGAAAAGTCCTTAATGACAGAGCTGAGGCCTGCTCACATCTGTGCCCAGAAAGGTGCCACCCCCTATGGCCCTCTCCTCCCCCACCTCAGATCCATCATCTTTTATGCTTATTTGTCTCTTGGTGGTCCTAAGTCCCATCCAGGAAACAGAACAAGAAGGAAAATACACTTCTGGCCTCCCTTTTTCTTTCTCTGAAAATGGACGCCCAGCCCCTTTCCAGAATACAACCAGTTAGTCCATTTCTTAGCAGGCAATTAGAGTTAATCCATCCTTAAAGTATGTGTGGGAATAATCAGCCTCAAAAATCTACCCAGATTCTAAGAGACAGGCACAGGGAGTCAAAATATCCCCATCCAGAGAGATGAGCCCTCCCAGCTGTCTTTAGGGACTGTGGCAACAGCCCCCAGACAGTCTCCATGCCTCGAGTGTGGTCCCCAGCCTCTTCATGCTCCATGCTGATGCCCCAGTGATCTTTCTGAAACCCAATGTTGTTCCTCTCTTTAGAACTCTCCAAGGGCTCCTGAAGTCCTAGTTCTTTCACATGGCACCCAGTCTCTCCCAGTCTTAGCTTGCCCTTCCCACTCTTTATAGCCACCCCAAAGGCATCTGTAAAGGGCTCTTATGCCTCTCAATTACGTTGTGCTTTTTCTTGTTTTGGAACAATTTGCACACAAGTTTCCTTCTGCATAGAAAGCCCTTCCCTGCCTTGTTCATCTAGTTAACTAGCATGTCCCCTCTTTCCAGAGCCTGCTCAGTCATCACCTCCTTTGGGGACAATCCCTTCTCCATCTTGTTCTAACCATCCCCAAAGACATTGTTTGCCCTGGAATCCTGTCAACTAGATGCTGTATTTTCCCTTCTACACCTAAAGGGTCTTAAGGGAGGTAGGTGTCCTCTTTGCTTCCCATTGCCTCTTCCTCCTTCAAAGCCCTTGCTTCTTTGAAGTGCAAGTCATCAGACTTGACCACCCACTGTTCACCTTGGTCATTTACAGTTCTCCCCATTCTTCCTCCCCATTCATTGATGACTTTAGCATGTGGCTCTTGTTGTTAACATGTTAACATCCACATGGATAGAAAACCTATGCACAGCACATCGGTGCCTCCATTTCTTGATTCCATCCGATTCAATGATCTTTTCCTCCATCCCACCACAGCCACCAACTCCCATGGTTACTTTCTATCTTTTCATCCAGTTACTCCGACCAATAACTGCATCCCCTCTGCGATGTCAAGCTGCTCCTCTCTATGACCACCTCTTCTCTTATTCAAGAGCACCCACTCCAGCAATGCGGACCTCACTGAGATGCTCAATCCATGGTCCCTTTCCCTTTCTCACCACCATCACCTACTCACCCCCTACTTCCCACACACACATGATCTCATCCTCTTCCCCATCCAGCTCAGGTGCCTTGGTCAGCACTATATCTACCCCCTAACACATGTTTACCTCCTTTACCCCATTTTCTCTGTATATCACACTAGCCCAGAAAGATCTGAACGTGAATAAAACCAGCCATCTGCTTACTCTGAGTCTGTACCCAATGAACCAACACTGCTGGGGAAATCACATCATGATCATGATGATTGGATTTGCTTTACATTTGTAAGCACAGGTGTCTACACTTCCAGTAATCCTACTTTCTTGCCTGGTGGATTCGCTTTCCAAGTCTCCAAGACAACTATGCTGTCTTCTCTACATTGTCTCTCTTCTAGAATAGATCTTCTCTACTCCCTTAAACATCTAAAACCTCACTCTCAGCAAATGTCTCCCGCCATCACTCACTCTCTTGCCATAGGGATATGGTGAAAATATGTTGTTTCTCCTCCAAGCAAAACAAACCATTCTCTCTGCTCCAGAATTCATCTCCTCTCAGCTTCTCAGGACCTTGTTCCTGCAATTACCCCCTTATCTCCCACTGACTCTTCAACTCACCCCAGCTGGGCTTACATCATTTCTACCCACCAAAAATGGCTCTTATCATGGTTGCCAAAGACTTACGTTTTGCCAAGACCACTGATAAGTTTTCAGTCCTCAACACATTTAACCTCTTAGGAGGAGGAAATTGAAATGCATTCTTTTCTAAGTTCTTAAGATGTTATTCTTGTCTTGTCTTTCATCTACCTTAATGACCATTCCTTCTCCTTTGCTGTAATCTCCTATTGTGCTCAACCTAGGGCTCTGAATGCAGCCTTCATCTCTTCCCAACTACTTTCTCCCTCTGGATGATTTCAGTCTCATTATTATAACCAGCATCATTGCTTTGATAGTCCCAAACCTATACACTAGTTTATACATCTCCCACAAATTCCAGACAGATATTTGAAACTGTCTCCACATGGTCATCGGCATTTCAAATCTTATATGGTCCCAAAAGATCTATTGATAGCTTTCTCCCTCCTGCTCTCTCTCTCTACCCTACTACCCTGTTGTGCACACACACACACACACACACACACACACACATCAAATCTCCTCTTCCCTAAGTCTTCATCTTTGTCCATGACATTATTACTTGCACAATTGTTGAAGCCAGCAATCTTAAAATCACCCTTGATTGCTCTCTTTCCCTCATACTCCATGTTTAATTCACTGGCAGGTCCTGGTGACAATGTTTCCAAGTATATCCCAAATTTGACTACTTCTCACAATATTAATCATCAAAATCTTAATCTAAGTCCCTGACATCTCTCAACTGGTCTACTGTAAGGTCCTTCTAACTGGACTTCCTGCCTCCTTTCTTGATTCTTGACCCTATACAATCTACTCTTCACACACCAGCTAGAATGGTATATGTATATGTATGTATATGTATACACACACACACACACAGTATGCAGCCTTTTCAGATTGGCTCCTTTCACTTAGTAATACATATTTAAGTTGCCTCCATATCTTTACATGACTTGACACCTCACTTTTTTTCAGTGCTGAATAATATTCCCTTGTCTGGATCTACCACAGTTTATTTATCTATTCACCTACTGATGGACATTGTGGTTGCTTCTAATTTTTGACAATTAAGAATAAAACTGCTATAAACATCTCTGTGCAGGTTTTTGTGTGGCCACAAGTGTGGACATAAGTTTTCAACTCATTAGAGTAAATACCAAGCACAATTGCTGGATCATATGCTAAGAATATGTTTACTTCTGTAAGAAACTGCCAAAGTATCTTTCAAAGTGGCTGTACCATTTTTGCACAGCAACCAGCAATGAGAGACTTCCTGTTGCTCCACATCCTCACCAGCATTCGATGCTCTCAGTGTTTTGGATTTTGACCACTCTGACCTGTGTGTGGTGGTATCTCATTGTAGTTTTATAGAGCAAGTCTTTTTAAGTCGTAAATCCAATTGTGTTGCTCCTCTTTTTAAAGGTTTTCAATGATTTCCCACTACAACAAAAATAAATTTCAAATACCTTACTATGATCCACAAGGCCCCTCATGACTTGGTCTCTACCTGTTCATGACTGCTCTGATTGGTCAACACCTTCTCCAATCTCATCAGGTACCACTCTCCCCATGGTCCCTTTGCTCTACCAATTTGGCTCTTTCACTTTTTAAACATGCCAGACCTGTTTCTGCCTTAGGGCTCTGCACTTGCCTTTTTTTTTTTTCCTTATGATGTTCTGCCAGGTCTTCAGTTGTGTGTCATTCTCATGAGTCAGGTCTTGGATTAAATATTAACCCTAAGACAAAACTTTCCTAGCATGAAGCACTGATGGATGTGGATGGTTGGATAGATGGAGAAAATATAGATCCTAAAAGAAGTAAGAGAAAACTTGGTTGTCGTGTAGTAGGCTGATGTACCAATGGAAGGAGCTATAAGGAGGAGGAGTCAGGAGTCAGTGGGAGCAGCCATTCCATACCCCTTTGGAGAAAGGAGGCTAAAGAAGAGAGACTACAGGAAGAAGTAGTGCAAACCTAAGGAAGCTGGCGACATCAGGTGAAATTAGCACAAGCTTCTGGAGGGGATCTGGAGGGTCAGTTGCCTACCATCATGCTAATATATAAAGCATCAGACCTTAATTACACACCACTATATGGAATGAATGTACACTCTACACACCTTGGGCACTTCCTAGGGCCTGAGACTAGAGGCCATCTGCCTGGGTCAGGGAGAGGCAGGCTCTGGGCCTACTGCATTGCAGTTCTAGCAACCACTCTAGTCTGTATCTGTAGCTGTATCCAGTTAGTTCAGAAATCCAGGCAGAAAATAAAACTCAGCATCACATAATACCAGGAGCATCACAGATCTGCCATGGTCTGCAGAGAATCCAAGTCTGTGCCACTTTGTTTTTTACAAGTATACAATCTCTTTTTTGATGTTATGAAACTCAAAGCTTACTATTTTTACCTTTATGACCAAAGATAATTGGCAACTTTCTATCTCCTCTGTAATGACTTTTTTCTTAAATCATGTTTGATGTTGACATTGTTTTAGGCCATAATGTCTCAAACTGTAGGTCATGAACCGTTCATTAGTTTGTCATGAAATCAATTTAGATGGTTCATAACCAGAATATTTTTAACAAAATAGAACAGAGTAAATGAAAATAGAAAATACCAAAGTGTGTCACACAGAGTAAGGACAAGTACTATTTCAGAAAACATGTTTCAATTATTCATATAATGTACAATTTTTACATATATGTGTGTATAAGATATAAAATGTAGGGTCACAGCCAAAAAGCAGAAGCTATTGCTCTAGGTTTCTCTTGGCTTTAAAACAAGCTACATAAATATGTTATGAATAATGTATAAAATATATTCTAAAACAACTTCAAAATTCATGTAGAATTCATTCATGTCAAGGAAGCACTGCCAAAGATAATAACCATCAAAAGTAGTACACAACAGGTGTGGCAATTTGGAAGATTCTATTTTAAGGCTGAGATCCTGACATTCCACTAGACTAAAGGTCAGAAGAACTAGGCTAATTTCTTCTCTGGCCTGATGGTTTTAAATAATTCCCCCTCCTTTTTCTGGCCTCAGATTCCTTATCTATAAAATGACAAACTTGGGTTCATTAGCTTCTGAGGATCCCTCTGTGAAAATTGTACATTCTGCATCTATAAGAGGCTGCATAAAATGATCAGGCACTTCAGCATCAAATCCTCCTGACTTCAAATCCCAGCTCTGTTACTTACCAGTGAGTACCACTGCTAGTTTCCTTGATCAGGAATTGGGAATTAGGGTATGTCTTCCACAGGGCAAGGGTCAGGATTAGAGACAGTCTTGTAAAGCTCCTGGCATAGACAGGAACTCTGCAAAAGATGGTTTTCATTATGTCCTGCTCTGCCTCTCTTTGTCTTTATTTATCATTATTATTATTATTTGAGACAGGGTCTCACTCTTACCCAGGCTGGAGTGCAATGGCACAATCTCGGGTCACTGCAACCTCCACCTCCCGGGCTTGAACAATTCTCCCACTTCAGCCTCCCAAGTAGCATGAACTACAGGCATGCACCACCACATGCAGCTAATTTTTGTAATTTTTATAGAGACAGGGTTTTGCCATGTTACCAGGATGGTCTCGAACTCCTGAGCTCAAGCAATCCACCTGCCTCAGCCTCCCAAAGTGCTGGGATCACAGGCATGCACCACCCACCTGGCCCTCTCTCTGTCTTTATCCACGTCTGTGCACGAGCACCCACTGCCCGAAATTTCCCACAAATGCCGATCAGCAGGATTCCCAGTGGCCGTGACTGTGGGTCTCTTCCCCATCTCAGAAACTTCCCCTCGGTTTGCAGGCCTTGGCTGCCTACAGCTCAGTACTCCTCTCTTTCCTTATCTCATTACCTGTTTTCTGATCATGTCAATTCTTTTTTTGTTGTTGTTTTTTGTTTTTTGAGACAGAGTCTCACTCTGTCATCCAGGCTAGAGTGCAGTGGCACGATCTCAGCTCACTGCAAGCTCTGCCTCCTGGATTCAAGTGATTCTCCTGCCTCAGCCTCCTGAGTAGCTGTAGCTGGGACTACAGGCACATGCCACCATGCCCGGCTAATTTTTTGTATTTTTAGTAGAGACGGGGTTTCACCGTGTTAGCAAGAATGGTCTCGATCTCCTGACCTCATGATCTGCCCCTCTCGGCCTCCCAAAGTGCTGGGATTACAAGCAGGAGCCATGGCACCCAGCCCATGTCAATTCTATTTCATAGGTTTTCCAGTCCTATGGGTGCCAGGGTCAAGGTCTGAACTCTAGGTCAGCCCTAAGTTCATCAGAGAAAGTCACTCTTCACCCATCAGCTAAGTGCCACCTCAGTGACTTTCCTTCTGTCCATGAATGCTACATCAGAAAAAAATATCATATGTTCCCTACATGTCCCCCTAAAAATAGATATAAGTGTTAGGAATGGAAGTATCAAAAGTGCACAAGGTCTACTACATAAATTGTGAAATACAGCCTGAGGCTTTATGTTTTGTTGATGACAGTGTAAAAATCACACAATTTTCATTAAAACAAAAATGGAAATGCTAAATACTTCAGGCCATTAACAGTGAACAACATGGTCACCATGCTCATATAATTAGGACCACACAAACATTTTAATCCTTCTCTGCTTGTACTTTTGTCCCAATCACATCCCTGACCCCATTAACCTGGGACATTCATCTCAGGGAAAGAACTCCACAAGGTGTGAGGGGACCTAGTAAACTTGGATCCTACCATCCCTAGGCCAACCCTGGCTCCTGTGCCACCCCCACTTTTTTTCAGGTTATGTAAGTTCTCCCAGAACTTACATACTTCTTACACTTCATACAACTTACACTGCCTTCTTCCCAGTGCAGTGACTGACCAGACCAAAGCTTTCATAGAAAAAAGGCCACCCAAGAGTGAAGGCGTGGACTCTTCCTGGCCTCTGAATCACCTCAGTTATACCCATGCACAGCTGAGCTGATTCTGCCTGGAGCTGGGGCCTGCTAGCTTTCTGAAGGCTCAGTGTGTCCTTCTGATCTGCAGGGTGTGGGATGCTGCAGCCAGAACTTGGGAGAAAGGGCAGATCCTATTAATCCAGGCTCTTTCCCATCAAAGAGAGTCCTGGATTTCCTTCTAGTGCACAATGGTCCCCACATGCTGCTCTCTTCCTTAGACCATAACTTCTCCTGGCTCCAACAATATTGCTGCACTGTGCGCTCTATAAAGTGAGGGCCTGAGAAGGGCACAACCCAGGGCCCTGCTGCTGGGAGGACAGATCCCCATGCTGCAGGTTGCGGTGACGGCCAGACATGAAGGGAGCTGGGAGGGGAGGGAGGGAGGTAGGCATGGGGTAGGAGGCTGAAGGCAGCATAGAATACTGAACACAAAGTAGTACAACCTTGAAACTGTGCCTTACTGCAGCTCTATCACAAAAGGTCTCTTCTCCAGTGGGGACAACAAGGAGGGAAAGAGAGACCTAGGACAAAGCTAAGAAGTAAAGTAAGTATACGCAGCTGCTGCACTCCAGGCTGAATGCAAAGTCTCAGGAGGAAGCTCAGGGGCAAGAGGATGACCAGCACTCAGGGCACCTGCACACATCTCAGCTCAGTAGTTTCAGCTGGTCTCTGACGGTTCCACTCCCCACCCATGCTGGACAGCTCTCCATGAGGAAATGGGTCCTTATGGTAAGCTGAAACTGGCCACATCATAAAGTCTACCTATTGGTCCTAGTTCTGTCCACTAGACAGCCACGCACAGAAGGTCACAAGAGGGCCTTTTGGGTACTGATGACACTTTTTTCTGCCACCCCAAGTTTCTCCATGCTATCCACCCCTGAAATCTTTCACCTGGTCCTTGTCTGGCATGGTTTCAGGGGAATTCACAATCCTACTGGCCATATCTGGAGATTCCTACACAGTCAGAGCCCCTGTCACTAATCCTCATCCTCTGCCAGGCACGAGGCTTGCTGTCAACCTCTACTCCTCCCATCAAAATAGGCAAAGTGCTTGGTCCACTGAATTTGGTTGGCAGGGGGTGCATTTTCATGAATTTTTTCCTGAAAATAAAATTAATACTTAGGGCTCATTAAATAAATGCACACTTACTCTCAAACACACCACCATTGCAAAATGCTAGAAGAGATCTAAAAAGCTAGCTTCCCTGCCTGTTCCTAGAGAAGGCACAGCAGGAGAGGAAAAATAAATAACGTTCAAACAAATGTGTATAAAAGCTAAACAAATGTTTTCAGCTGTTTCATTCTCACTTACACCCAAGCAGTGTTGCTGATGGATGAGGGTTGCAGGAACTCCCCTGGCTGGGGCCAATCTTCTTTCAAACAGCCACTGCTGCCAAAGCTATCTCCTTATAGCGAAAAAGACCCTCTGTCCCCACCCATAGATGACATTACCTAGGTACCACCAAAGGCAGGCAGGGGGCACAAGCCTTACATCCAGGAAAGATAGACCACAGCAAGGACTATTCCTCTGGGTTTATGTCCCCTGTGGTATGTGGCTGAGAAGGAAGGAGCCATAGCTGTGCTCTGGTGGCCCAGGCCACAGGACAAACAATATGGCAAAAGGAAGGGCAGGAGCTGGGGATGGGCCTGAATATTAATCACTTTCCTGAAGCAGATCCTAGATGAAGTTGGTGGCTGCCAGATTGCCAGTGTGCAGGACCAGGTAGGATGAACATGTACCTGGGGACAGTAATTCCAACCAAAACAATGGACATAACATTTACTCCACCGGGGCAGCTATATCAACAGCTCTGCTCCTCTACACACCTGAAAGGGGCCACAGTTGCAAGAACACAAGAGCAGCTGGTGGAGCCAGAACTACCATTCCAATGCCCTTCACTGGGTAGAGGTGACCACCTGATCCATTCATGGGAGTCCACAATGCAGTTTGCTAAAACAATGCTTTCTCTGAAAAGGCAGAGGCAAGAAGTAAGAAACTGGAGCTACAAGCTGACCTGAGAATGGCCTGATTCCCAGGCCCATGTCTGGGAATTTTCTCTTTCCAAATATGAAGGAAATAAAAATAGGTAGGCAGGAAGGCCAAACTATGTTTGCAAAAACCCAAGTCTGGTTTTGAAATGCCTGCTCTCACCATTTCAAGGCTAAGAATAATGGAAGAAGTTGGGAATTCTGGCATGGTCCCAGGGTATGAGTGCACTTGGATCCAAGAACACATGGATGTTCGTGCCCACACCAAACCCTCTGGAGCTAGTCAAAAGTGTCAGGCGCCTTTAGAGAAATGAACGAGGAGCTGATTAAGAAACGCGGCTGCTGACAAGCAGGAATTGCCCTATAAAACATTTCAAGGTGTCAGCGATGGAAATGCACTCCACAGCCACTCAGTAGAGAGGGCAGAGCTCCCCCACGCTGTGGAGTGCCAGCAGTAGCCCAGGCCCAGGCAGGCGGCTTCCATCCAGCTGGGCCTCAGGATAGGACCACTAGGCAGGTCAACCAACGGCGAGCAAACACGAATGGCATTCAGCTTATCGCTCAACTAAACTACCTTAAACATCTGTGCTTTCCTCTGAAACCTTGTTATGGACTGAATTGTGTTCCTTGAAATTTATATGTAGAAATTCTAACCCCCAGGACCTCAGAATGGGACTGTAGTCGAAGACAGAGGTAATTAAGCTAAAATGAGATTATTAGGGAAGCCTTAATCCAGTATGACCAGTATCCTTGTAAGAAGAGAAGACTGGGACACAGAAACATAAGAAAGACCATGTGAGGACACAGGGAGAAGACAGTCATCCATGAGCCAAAAAGAGAGGCCTCCAAAGAAATCAACCCTGCCAACACCTTCATCTTAGAATTCTAGACTCTGGAATTGTAAAACAATTGATTTCTGCTGTTTAGGCCACCCATTCTGTGTACTTGATAATGGCAGATCTACTGGACTATTACACTCCTGCTCTGCTTGCCCTGTGTTTAATAAAAACAGACTGATGCTCCCATTTGTAATAAGTAGTAGCAGGGGAGCATAAGCACCATCTTCACATACCTGAAGCACAACCTCACAGAAGAGGGAGCCAACAGGCTCCCTGGAATACAAGATACTGAGTGACTGCCAGGCATTAGGATGAGCTCTCTACTCTCATCATTTCCTGCAATCCCTACAACAACTCCAAAAAGTAGCCACAATTATCCCTATTTTGAAGAAGGGAAAAAAGGGACTTAGAGGTGGTAGGTCTCTTGACAAGCGTGTATGTCTAAATAAATGGCAGAAGTGAGATTAAAATCCAGGTTTGTCCGACTCCAAGCTGTGTCTCTCCGTTGAACTAGAACCAATGGTATCAGTCCAGGGACGCAGCTCTTCTCTCTAATGGTCAAGCTGTCTAACAACAAAAATGGACACTATGCATGCAGAGAGTTCCATAGCTAGAGGCATTCAGGCAGGGTCTGGAAGATGGAATTTGGTGGGTTATAGTTTGCAATCACCCATCTGCTCCAACTCAACACGGTTAGGACACATTATTTACCTTCCACCCATCCCCCCCAACACACACACCCCTGGGAGGCAATGATCTGAATTGCTGAGGGGGTCCATTTAATTTGAAAGTGCCCTCCCAAGTGATTCTAGTCCCTAATACTTGGGGGTGTCCCTGTTGAGAACCCTTGTGAAAGGGGGTTGGGTTGGGCTGATTCCAAAGATCCCTCTAGCCCTGAAGTCTACAGCTCTTGAACATTTATGGAGCCTCAACAGTACACACAGCACTCCGGCACAGTGCCTCCAGATCATTCCCCAGAGCCAAGGGCAGGGGATCCATGCTGGATATGCAATGAGCTCGACCTCTTTTTGCACAAACACAGTGGTCTGGCTGGAGAGAGAAGCAGAGTGTGCCCAGGAATGGCCTTGGCAGGTCAAGACCAAGGCCCCGCAGGACTGGACTAGAAGTATGCTGTGTTTATTCTCACTTGGCTGGCAAGTCATCGCCACCCCCCCAGTCTGTCCCAGCTGAGGCAGAACAAGCAGTTTTGCCATCGTGACCCCGCCAATGAGTTGATGACAATGCTAGGCTGATGGCTCAGGGCCCTGTAGCACTCCAATCACAGCTGGGGTCACTCAGGCCCCCACATAAGCTCAGCCCAGAAGGAAGGAAGGAAGAGGGGAAGGGGAAGGGGAGGGGAGGGGAGGGGAGGGGAAGGGAAGGGAAGGGAAGGGAAGGGAAGGGAAGGGAAGGGAAGGGAAGGGAAGGGAAGGGAGAGGAGAGGAGAGATAAGGAGAGGAGAGGAGGAGGAAGAGGAAAGGGGAGAGAGGGGAGAGGAGGGAAGGGGAGGGGTTGAGGAAAGGAGGGGAGGGGGAGGGGAAGGGAGGGGAGGAAATGGGAGGGGAGAGGTGGGGAGGAAAGAGGAGGGAAAAGGAGAGGAAGAGAGGGTAAAGAAGCAAAGAGAGAGAAAGAAGGAAGGGAGGGGAGAGGAGAGAGGAGAGGGGAGGAGAGGAGGAGAGGGAAGGGGAGAGAAGGGAAGGGAGGGGAGGGGAGGGAAAAGCAGGAAGGGCGGGGAGGGGAGGTAAAAGAAGGAAGGGAGCAGAAGGGAGGGGAGGGAAAGGAAGGAGGGAGAGAGGGAGAGAGAGGGAGGGAGAGACAGGGAGGGAGAGAGAGGGAGGGAGGGTAGGATTCCAGCTAGCTGCACACAGTTGCTAAGTCCTCAGTCAGCTGGGCCACTTATCCCATTCTGACTTGGGCCCCGGTGCTGGTACCTGTACTTAGCCCTTGATCCAAAACCCCCTGGTTATTTCTGTCCCTTCCAAGCCTTTACCCGGTTGTCCTCTCTGCCCCTCTCTAATGCTCTCTCTAGGAAGAAGAGGCCTGGGTCTGAGTGCCATCCCTTAGAGAACCTTCACTAGAGATCTCAGCTGTGACTTCTGCAGGGAAGCATTTTCTGATCCCAGCCAATGCTAGTTAAAGGCTAGTTTGCTGTGCTCCTAAAACCCCTAAGATAATGCATATGGCATTGTTTTAAATTATCTGTCTACCAGCCCTCTGCCCTACTAGAATTTAAGTACCTTGAGGGTAGAAACTGTGTCTTCACCACCTTATTCCTAATGCCTGGCATGGGATAGGAACTCAAACTGTATTTGCTAAATAAATGTATGAAGGCAGAGAAGAACATTTTAAGTGACACCAAGGTCTTGCCACTAGAGCTCAAATCATATCCTCGTTAAGTTGCACTCCTTCCAGAGGCCTCTGGAGAAGCTCAGGAAGATCTCATGCAAAAGAGTGACAGGAACAGATTTACCACGGGTCCAAAAGATGTCCTGGCCTGTGTAGAGGAGAGAGAGAACTGGGCAGCATCGGTGTCTCCTGCTTGGCAGGGATAAGTTGGCAGTTAGCAGGCACCTCATGAGAGAGAGGGGCAAGTAGAGGAAGACAGCAGGGAGAGGAAGGGAGAGACAGCAGTCAGGTAAGCCCAGGAGGTAGAGAGAAGCCACAAATCCAAAACTTTCCAGCAGCCAAATCCTTCAGGACCCCTTATCTCCAAGCCCTACTTATCCTCCACATGAATTTCCCTGAAGCACAAACAAATCCTCGTCAAGAATACTTGTGGCCCTAGCACAGTGGCTCTCGCCTGTGATCTCAGCACATTGGTAGGCTGAGGTGAGCAGATCACCTGAGGTCAGGAGTTCAAGACCAGTCTGGCCAACATGGTGAAAACCCATCTTTACTAAAAATACAAAAATTAGTCAGCCATGGTGGCACATGCCTGTAATCCCAGCTACTCAGGAGGCTGAAGCAGGAGAATTACTTGAGCCTGGGAGATGGAGGTTGCAGTGAGCCAAGATCCCACCACTGTATTCCAGCCTGGGTGACAGCGGGAGACTCCATCTCAGAAAAAAAAAAAAAAAAAAAAAAGAATATTTGTGAGCTGCAGCCTACCAGTCAGGACCCACAGCCCCAGAGATGAGGAAATAAGAGGTGGGAGCTGGTCCTGCCCTGTCTCCCTCTGGGAGCTCCCAATCTCAGCTCTGCAAGAGCCTAAACTCCATAAGGGGCACCTGATGAGCTAAACACATACAGAGCCCTGCAACCTGGGGCTCAGGGGAGGCTCCTGCAAGAAGGG
Source organism: Homo sapiens (assembly GCF_000001405.40). Taxonomy (NCBI): domain Eukaryota; kingdom Metazoa; phylum Chordata; class Mammalia; order Primates; family Hominidae; genus Homo; species Homo sapiens. Next base: position 19,692,047 of record NC_000002.12, read on the forward strand.
CCTGGGTGTGGGCCTTGGTCAATGGGCAGGATTGGTGGGGAGGCTGCCAGGTGGGGTTGGAAACCTGACAAATGTGGAAGTTGGGCAACAAGAGTGGGTGGTAGGGAAAGACATAGAGATGTACAGTCAATATGACTTATCACTGCTGACGGTGACCTTGATCACCTGGCTGAAGTCACACTTGCCAGGTTTCTCCACTGAAAAGTTACTCTATTTTTCCCCCATCATTCTTTGGCAGTAAGTCACTGTGTGCATCCCACTCTTGAGAGATGTGGAGTTACGTTCCACCTCTTTGAGGACGGAGTACCTACATAAATGATTTGGAATTCTTCCACACAGGAGATTTGTCTATTCTTCCTCTGTTTTTCTATTCGCTCATTTGTTTATATAAATTACTACTCTTTATTTTCTTGCTCAAATTGTTTCAACTTGGCCGTTGGTAACTCTTTTAGTTACTGCTGCACTCCTATAGTACCCTTTTTGCTGAGGGTGGTTTGATGGTTTTGAGCACTTTCTTATTTTATGGCACTACAAGATCCTCCAGGCTCACCTTACATATTTCTTACTCCAGTCCCAGAATCAGCCCATAGTTCCTCTTACTAGAGAATGGTATTAGAAACCAATATCTGGGCACTATATATGCTCATTGCTACTGAGGTGTTCTTGCTTCTAGGCTCTCTCAGCTGACAGAGAAAGTAAATACATATGGGTATACTAATGTGTGTATCTACACACACCTGTAAATTTAAATACATATCTATCTGTGTCTATATTAAACTAAACGTGAGTTTATGCCAATGTCTCCAACTCTAATCTGTTACAACATGAATCATTCTGGCCTCCTCTCCTCGCTTGTCTATAACCTCCTTCTCTAACAGTAAGAACAAAGTTCCTGCCATCTGCCATCCATTTACTCAATTGTTCAATTCCAGGATACATGTATGGCAGTATCAGAGCTACCCAGCACCCCTATGATGGTGATGGTGGTTTTTCTATGCTATTTAATGCCATGATTACTCAAGCACAGGTATCCTTGCAAGGCAAATGCTGACCTTCACAGGTGCCCAGAAGTCCCAACCCCTGATTCATTGAGCAATCAGCTCACCAACTGCTAGGGCCTCCTTCTAATAGCCGCCACTGTACCCTCACGCCATGCTCTAGTGAGAAGCAAGGAAGTCAAGCCAGGCATCTTCCCTTCCCATGAGCCCACTGCCCCCACCCACAGCAAACTGGCAACCCCCAAGGGTATTGCAGCCTCTGCATTAGAGCAAACCAGGATCAGGGTAAGTGAGAAGCTCACATAAGCCAGGGCTCCAAGCACATGTTACATGTCCCATCAGACTTGACTTACGAAACACAAATGCAAAGATAAAATTATTACAAATTTCAAGTCAGTGAGTGCGGTGTATAAATTCCAAGCACAGGGCCCATCTAAGCATGGAGTTCCTGGTTGACTACACTGGCCCCACACTCATGAAGCCAGCCCTGCCTGGCACTCACGTGCCCCAGAGAGGCCCCTGTCATCCATTTGCATATTGCCTTCCCAAAGCTCAGTCAATCCAGCCTACTATGGGCCACATCCTGGTCTTCTTCCACAGCAGTGTTACCAGGCAGTAACCCTAGCCTCTAAAATTCATTTTATTTGGACATATATATTTATAAATACCCACAAGAGAGAACATCTTTCAATGAAACTTAAAGAAATTTTTGCAAACTGGAAAAGATATCAGCCTTAACATGCTTGGACATAGAGTTTTCTCATGGCTGGAGCCAGGAACGTAGGTGGCTGGGGTCCCTGGAATTTTATTTGGGTAAAGTATTTTAGGAAGGATTAAAGGAAGAACTCACAGATTTTCCAAGGAGCCCTTTATTTTGGTGATCTGCAAGATACCCTCTAGCCTCCCAGCTCCCTGACCCTCTGAGTACATTGAGAGACAATGCACTCAGATGGGACACTAGACACTGACATCTGGACGCAGGGAATGAAACCCTGGCTTCTCTCACCATGGGCCTCCACAAGACATTTTGTCTCTGAGCCTTAGTTGATTCCTCATCTATAAAATGGGCAGGGGGTGGTCCCTGATGACCTCCCTCGTAGGGTTTCTATGAGTATCCATTGGAAATGACATCTATGAAGGCTAACACAGTACTCTACCCATGGAAGTGCTCAGTCAAGGGTGGTGGCATGTTGCTGAGTGCTTGACCCCTGAGACCCAGCCCCAGTTTCTAAGGAAAGCAGAGAGAAAAATGGCCCTCTCTCTAAGCCATGGAGGTCAGCTTAGGCAAGCCCTGGGTCCCTTGTTCCAGAAAAGATTCCCAGGCGAAAATAGCTTTTGCAACATCTATATTGAACAATGGCTTTTTCCAAATAGTCACCTCATAAATGAATGGTCCAAGGACAACTAATTGAAGCCTCTATGATCTACAGCTTTTTCTGTCCACAGGCCCAGGGCAGGCAGATGCACACTGACCTCCTGGGGGCTCACAGACCATCACCAGGGCCATCTGTAGTGAGCGATCCTGGGCTATGAATGCATTTGTACAGTGCACCACCTGTGACCCCACAAATAAGAGGGCATCTCATGGCCTCACCTCCCTCTATTGCTTCCATTAGCAGCATCCTGAAAAGCCAGGCCCTAAGAATTGTTAATTCCTGGCCACGGAGGGGCTCCGAGTTGGGGTCAGGTGTCACCTTCAGGCCTGTGCACCTGCCCACACCCTCTGAGACTGAGCAACTGGCTTAGTCAGGCCCACTACAGGGGCTCCAGGAGCCTGGCCTTTTCCAGAGGGGACATGTGGGACCTCTTTCCACAGAGAGGGAGAAGGATTCCCTCACTCTCCCCTTCTTTCTGCCACATGATGAGGTAGCCCTAGGGTCAGTAAAGCCACCCACTGGCAGGGATCAGCAAAGGAGCCCTGCTGGTGGCCACCTGGGTGTGTCTTCATCCTGGCCCAGCTCATGCGAGTCTTCAAGGGGTGGCTGTGGCTCCAGAGGCAGGTCCATTCACAGGGGCCAGCTCAGGGACTGCATTTGCTGTTCCAGCTGTGAAAGCAGGAAGTGCTTTCCTGGCCTCCACTCCCACTTAGCTTTCACTGAGTACCCACTGCATGCCAGACCTGGAGCTGGGGGCTGGGGGATCAGGGCAGACAGACAAGGAAGACACTCTGGGAAACACCAGGTCTGGTGGATTATAGGTGTTAGGTTTTATATGTGGCTGTACCTGGCTGGGTTTTTTGAGTACTTATTATGTGCCAGAAACCACAGTAAGCACTTAACATGTATGGTCTCATTTAATCCTCACTATTGAACTATGAAACTGTTACTGTTTCTACACCCATTGTATAGATGAGAAAACTGAGGCAGAGACCAGTGAAGAAGTCTATCTAAGGTGACAGAGTGTGTCAGTTGCTGCTCTGGAAAGCAGATGTCAAGCAAAGTTAGAAGTGCAAGAGATTTATTGGAAAAACAACTGTGAAAGACAACAGGGAGAGGGAAAGGGAGAAGCAGGAGGACTTTCAGACATCTGCAAAAGGATTGGCAGGAGGAAGAAAGATTGGGCAGAAAGGCCTGACTTTAATGCATATCTGAAAAAATCTCATGGCCCAACAGATAGCTCCAGTGCAAAGATTGCCTGCAGAGGGTCCCACACAGAGCTGAAATACCCAGGCCCCTGGAGTGCTGCTGTGCTCAGCTGTTGGCTGGGAGAAGCCCAGGGTGAGAGCAAGCTTGGCTCAAACACTGCAGAGGATCCCAAAGATGCAGTAGCTGGAGGCCATCAGCCAACTGCCCCACTCCAAGCTCCTTGACAACATCTGTCTTGCCTGGAGGTCTGAGTCCCCCTCCTGGGAAAGTGGCACACCAAGGAGCTGTGGCTCAAACCAGGTCTTGTGCTGACTTCAGAACCCATACTCTCATTCATTATGCTAAACAGACGAATTCACGGGTGATTATGTCTCTGACTGCTCTCTCCAAAACGTATTAGTCAGTCACCTAGCTGTATGGAGCCCTCACATATGCTTCTCTCCATGCGGTGTAAAGAGAAAGCCTGATTCCTACCTATAGGAGGTTCCAGCTGAGGAAGACAAGACTGAAAAAAAAAGGCACCAAGATGAACTGATCACAGTCTCTGCCTTCACAGAGGTCACCTTCTAGATGGATCCAGGAACCAGACAATTACAAAAGAGTGAGAGAAATGTATGTAAGAGAAAGTGTAAGGAAGGATGAGCCCTATCCCACCCCTGGCAGTTATGGAAGGCTTCCTCAAGGAAGGGGCTTCTTAATGGACTCCTGGGAGGTGAGTAGCCATTAGCTAGATGAAGAGGGGTAGATGAGGATAGGAGCATGTATATGTTTCCCAGTGGGAAGTGGTGGCAGTGGGGAGGGAAGGAAAGAAAAGAGAGCAAAGGGAATAGTATTTCTGACAGAAGGAACAGCCTCAGCAAAGGCCCATGAGGCAAGAGAAGGTGCAGTGCATTGTTCATGGAGCCACCAAATGTTCTGGAAGGCTGTGGATGAGAAGACAGCCTGGCTGGTGAGTAGCACTGCCTGCCCCACTAAGGCATTTGTCCCGAGGGCAGTGAAGGGAAATGCTGTAATTAAGCACTTAGCCATGTAGGGTAGATGCTCATTCCAGGGAGAGACCACTGAGGGCAGGCCAATCAGGGAAGGCTTTGAGGTATTGGGAGGACTTGAAAGATTATCAGCAAAAATGTCTCCCATCATGAGAGCTGATGGAGTCCTCATTAAGGTTCCCACAGTTATAATCCTCCAGAACTAAACCTGAACTTAATCAGGTGATGTGGGAAAATGAGAACTAAAAATAAAATTGTCACTTGATTCTATTCCTACATCTTCACCCTCCAGAGGGAAGTTTCTGAGGGATATAGGATCTTTCTGACCATGTTTTTAATAACACTTTTAGCCAAAATGTCCCCCCTCAAAAATTCAACTACCTGTTTGATGCCTGCTTTGACTTCTCTGATTAACCCTACTCACAGGGCAGCCTCCCTCTAATCCACATTGTTGTTCTTAAAATCTATTTTAGAATTTAAGTAGCCACAGCCTCAGCTCATCTCAAAGTTGTGGACAGTTAAGATTCCCCTGGGATCTCCAATTTCAACAGTTATCATTATTTATTGTATGTAAAAAACCATCCCAAACTTTGGGGCATACAAAAATCCTCTATTAATATTATTATTAATATATCTCTTGCAGTTTTGAGGGTTGACTGTGCTCAGCTAGTTGGTTTTCTGTCAGGATCTGCCATGCAGTTGTGGTCAGACAGAACTGGAGATCAAAGGCTTGCTCACTCAGATGTCTGGCAATTGATGCTGCAGCTCAAACTCCTACGTGTGGCCCCTCCCCAAGGCCCAGACTTCCCCAAAGCAAGTGTCCCTAAAAGAGGGAGAGCCAGTCCAAAACTGCATCAACCTTTAGGGCCTAACCCTGGATGTCCATAGCGTTGCTTCACCACATTCTATGAGTTGAAACAGTGGCAAAGACCCACCCAGGTTGAAGGTGAAGGGACACAGATTCTGCCTCTCAACAGTGGACTGGCAAGGTCACATTGCAAAAAGAGCGCGTGGGATGGAAGATATTGTTGTGGCATCTGTTGAAAATACAGTCTGCCAAGGTCACAACATCACTGCCACAACCACACTTCAAACCATTAACATTTTTTCCATGTGCAACGTGCCCCTGTGCTGGCCCCGGGATCCCCAAGTCCCACTGTAGCTGGCACCAGCTTGACATCCAGGATCTTTTCATCTAAACCAGGTCCAAATGCCAAGGAGACCCCACAGGTGTGGTTCTTCTTCCACAGGGCCTTAATCGATATGAAGACCTTTGAATGAGAGTGACATGTTATCTGCCCCCTACACACCCAACATTCAATGGTGGGATGAACATGACTACTATATACACTCCTGTTTAAAAAGAGGGAAAACTAGGCCCCCAGCAGTAACGGGATCGTAGTAATCTCTCAGCAGTTTCCTCCCTACATGTGCAATTGATTTGAAAGGCAAATGGTTGCATTAACTCTTGAATATTTTCACCTCATTCTAACTCAGAGTTGGTAACCCTTGGCCCTAGGGAATGGTAAATGGAAAGAAAGATTAGCCCATGGTAAAGGGGGAAATGAAGCATTGCTGTGGCTCCATTGTAGGCAATCTACTCCACACAGTCATGGAGCTCTGTCAGTTGGGGTGTTCTCACTACCACACTCTCCCTGGCCCAGGCTACAGGTGGCTGGGATTGGTTTTTCAATGGCAAATGACCCACAGAGCCAGTCTTATGTTTTCTCTACATAAGCTGGGACATAGACCTCTCTTTTGGTTCAGTGTTGGTGTCAAGCGGCAAGCACATGAGTCTGAGGCTGTCAGCAGCCATTTCTCCAACCCAGGGACAGAGCCGTCTGCAGAATAGAGCCAGCAGCAGTGGGGAGCAGAGACAAGGACTTCAGTGAGCAGAGCCTAATGATGTCATTTGAGCCAAGACTTTAATTCAACGATAAATCCCCCTATTTGCTTAAGATAGGTTAGGTTGGATTTTTGTCACTTGCATTGGAGAGTATCCTAATACACTCCCATTTTTCTCCCTAAGCTCTTTGCCCTGGCCTAAAGTCTAGCCTCCCATGGCCCCTCTACACCCTCCGTCAGGAAGAAAGACCCCCCTGAAGCACTTAAGTTCATCTTCTTGTCCCGGGGCATTCCCAAGTGGAGAGGGAAGGCTGCGTTTTCTTCCTCGGTCCTCCAGTCTTTCCAAACACTGGAGACAATTAGAAAGTAACAACACCTCACACAGAACAACTGCCTTCACTCAGACTCAAGCCTGTCCCCGTCTCCCTTCACTCACACTCCCAGTTGACCATAAGAGTGAACAATCTCCAAGGTGTGCACACGCTGCAGAGGGAAGTGCCAGGATGGTCTCACAAGAGAGTTGCACAACACTGGATGCAGACCACCCTGGACACTGCCCTGGCCAGAACCTACCAATCTCCCAGGGCCCTACCTATCAACTTTTCTCTTATATGACTTAGAACCTTCTGGTATCAATATGTTCAGCAGGAAATGGCTTTTTGATCACTGTAAAGTCCCTGCTGATTGTGAAGATTAGATCAGCTGTGGCCTGTAGGGCCCCCTCTTCCAAGATATTAATAACTGAGACTGCACTGGGGAGCGATTAGCAACGTTGAGCACCAGCCCACACTCCCAGCGTGGTCAGATTTCATGCATGCTAGACCTGTATAGAGCCAGGGGTCCCAGATGCAGGGGTCTGAGGAGGGAAGACTTTGAGCACAAGAGAGTGGGAAGAAAAGGAAGGTCAAAAGTGCAAGATGCAGCAGAAAAGGCTGAGACATGTCGTCTGATACCCTCCAAGCTCCACAGCTCTCCCATTCCACACTTTGAACCCACAGCAACCTACCTATGAGGCATGACCCAGGTGAGGATAATAATTTTCAACCTTCTTCCAGCCCCTAAACATATGTCATTTATTTGCGTGGACACTCCCCTGGGCCACAGGCTGCAGCACAGCTGAAATTCACTGTGGCCACACCTCCTTCTAGCCTGTGGTGTAACTCCATCCCTTTCCATTCTACCCAGGAAAGCTATTGTACACTTCACTTCAGTAACCACCATTAGTAACAACCCACCTGTGGCTCAGCCCCCAGCAGCTCCAGATGGTGAACATGGAAGGCATCACCCTTTCAACTGTGGACTCAACCAGCTGACAGTACGGTCCACTATCAGACTCAAGGCCTGCCGCACATTTATTCCAGTAACACCTCCCTTCTGGTGTGGCCTTTAAGCCCTCTTAACATCATCCCACTGTGGTACATCTACAGCCTTAAGTTGACAGTGGACCCCTATACATTTAAAAGCCTGTTTCCAGACAGCGCCCAGTGGACTCCCTCGACAATCCTGTGAGGTGGGGTTTGCTATCATCATGATTCCCTGCAGATTCATTTACTTGTTGAGGACTTGTTACGTACCAGACATGGTTCTAATAGTGAATAGAACAAAGACCTCAGTCCTCAGGGAGCTTAAATTCTAGTGGAGGAATAAAGACATTAAAATAAAAGCATAATAAATATGTAGTATTACTTATATAAGAAGGTAATGAGTGCTACAGAAAATATGAGAGAACAGGGCAAGGTAAAACGGAGATGATGTGCATGGAGGATGGGGAAGTTTCCAAGATTAAACAGGGTGGTCAGGGTCTGCCTCATTGAAAACATTGAGATTTGCACAAACACTAGAAGAAAGTTGGTGAGCAAGCCAAAGGGCATGAGGGGACAGTATTCCAGGCACAGGGGACTGCCAGAGCACAGGCCCCGCAGTAGACCATGCTTGGAAGCTATGAGGAGCAGTAAGCAGGCCACAGTGACAGGGACAGAGTGAGCAGGGGGAGGCCAGTGGACAGGAGACTGGAAAGAAACAGACAAAGCCAACCAGAGGGAGGACTTGCCACCTAAGGCCAGAAGTACAAGACACCCTCGTGAATCAGGTCGGACACAGGCCTCTCACTTTGAGCCCAGGTGCTTTCTCTGCAGATTTGAGGCAAACAGGCCTTCTTGTTCCCAGTAGCCCTTCATTCCCCACCACCAGGCCACCACCCAGCAGAAGGGCAGCCCCCAGAGGTTATTTACTACCCTTGGTCACCCAAGGGAGCTATCCTGCCTCACCCCTGCACCTGCCTGTGCCCCACTGGCAAGAGAGCTGACGACAAGGAAGAACCAAATTAAAGAACCCCCCAGTAATCAGAGGGACTCTCCTTTCCTTATCCAGGGCCCAGAAACCTCTGATTATAGATCCAAGCTCCTGGGATCTCCCAATCAAAAGCTGGCATGCACGAGGCAGGGGCAAGCCAGGCCCAGGACTTTGTGGTCTCACATCCTACACTGCCAGGGCCCAGCGGCCATCTGGCTGGGCTTTCCATGGACAATCAGACAGCAGGCAGCCGATACTGGGACTGCCAGGGCACTGGGGCCACAGGAGGCATCTGAGGCAAAGCTCCCCAGCTGCTCAGACATAACCAAATCGGGCCTTTGCAAGGAGGGGGAAGAGTGCATTACCAAGCCTGACGTGCCAAGAGCTCCTTGGATCCACTCCGCCTCCCATGCCTCACCCTCTCCTGGGCTCAGCATGTTAGAGCTAAATGGCTCTATTTATTGCCATCCAAGGTTTTGCTTGGTGGGGCCCAGCGTGGCTGACCTCAGCCAGCAGTGACAAGTGGCCATACTCAGTCGGCAGACACCAACTTTGCCGCCATCTTTCAGCATCCCCACTTTCCCCTTTCTCACACACAAATGTCTGCAGAGCTGTGGGCAGACCAGAGCCCTGAACAACTCACAGAGGCAAGAGGCCTGGTGGATGGTGCTTAGATGAATCATAGGGATGACGGCAAAATCACTCATTTTCTCTGGACCTCAGTTCCCCTTCTTATAAAATGATAGACCTGAAAAGCAATGATCATACAACTCTTAGAGACAATTGAGTACTCCATTTTGAGGGCAAGGAAGGACTTTGAATCACAAAGAAGAACTGATGAAATTCAGAGACCTAGATCTGAATTGCTGTGCAGATGTTGCTGCAAGAAATGAGAGGGGCTGAGAAAGATAGGGGACCTCCCCAGGATTGCCCTCTGGCTTAGACTTCCAGTAGATGCAGAATATTGGACTAAAACACAGATCTGAGACTGGAGCTAGAAATAAAGACATGGCGATTTCCATGCCAAACAATGAAGTAACAGATGGGGCAAGAGGGCAAGACAGTGGAGCTCCAGGGTGCGTCTCTTCCTTCTGCAGATCTGGAGCCCCCATGCCTGGGGTTCTATTTCAGCAGATCATCAGGAGCACCAGGAGCACAGCTGCCAGAGAAAGTGTCAAACCAAGGAGTCCCCCCAGGTGGAAGAGGGTCAACAGTAAGGCAGCTGAGCAGAGAAACAGGAGTCTGTACCTCCAGCTTCTCAGTTGACTGAAAGGAAAATGCTGGAAAAGATTGACCTTTGGTGCATGGATTCAGAGTCTGGTTTTGTACATGTCTGAATTTAGACCAGAAATCAGGAAAAAGGTCAGACAGAGGGGAGACACATATTTGGGAGATGTTTGCAAAGAAAGATGTAGAGAAAGGATTGGAGTAGATGACAGAGAAAAAATTGAAAGGGCATATTGGAGAATCTTGGAGAATGTCTGCATTTAGGAGTTGAGAGAAGGAAGAGTAGCCAGAAAGGGAGGCAAAGAAGGGGTGTCGAGGGAGGTAGGAAGCATCAGGGTTGCATGGAAGTAGGGTCGTCATGAGTGCTGTTGATCAAACAGTCTGTCTGCCCCACCAGGAGCACAGCAGAACTGGAATTCCTGACTCCCTGCAATGGTTAGTGGAAATATATGACTTTTTTAGCCAATGAGTCATGAGTGAAAGTGATATCTCACTTCTATGTGGCACATTTGAGAGTCTCCTTCTTCTTTCCCTCTACTACGATGACCATGAATGTTCCAGCAGTGGCTGGACTGTGGGTCCAGGCCACTTAGGAGTGAGAAATCAACCTCTGTTGCATCAAGACACTGGGGTAATTGTTTGTATCTGCAGCACGACCTAGCATTTTCTGACTCATTAACCAATGGCAGGTTTCTAGAAGGAAGAAAGTGACCCACAGGGAGACTGAGGACTGGAAAACAGTGTTGAGTTTGGCAAACAAGTGGATCTTAGTGACCTTCAAACTTGGAGGTTAGAAGCAAGAGCCAGACTGCAAGGCATTAAGGAATGAAATACTGATGACAGAAAATGAAGATGTCTCTTTTAAATATTTTGGAGAATGTCAGAAAAGAAGGGGGTTAACATGAGGGCCAGCAGGGAGGGGGGAAAAGCTTCAGCTTTTATTCCTAAGATAAACCAGTGGAAAAAAAAGGGGATGATATCAATGGTGACCTGATTTGCCCAAGCTCATGACTGCTCTGTCCAGTTAGGAAGCAAGAGAAGCGGGAAACTAGATCTCCCATTCTGCAAGTTTCCCTTTCCTTGTTCCATATCACTCTAGGAATTGACCAAGGGTCAGTGGACACAGCTGACACTGGCAAGAGTTGGGAAAATGAGAGGGAGGCTCTTGGGAAGAAGTAGTAAGGGGATGGTGGGGAGAGAGAGAAAAATCAGTGGAAAAATGATCAGTCTACAGGAAATAGGGAAGTTCAGGAGCCCCTAGGGATTGACCTCTATGAGGTGGGTTTCTATATTCATTGAATGGGGCTAACCCTTAGGGCACGGGGTCATGGAGAAGATCAGAGAAGATGATGCATGCATAGCAATGCATTACAAACTTCAAAGCTCCATGCAAATGTGATGGGATATTGGCTGATCATCACTGTTGGGGGTGTCTTTACACAGAGAATCTGTTGCCCCTGGTTGCTACCAATAAGGCTGCACTCCCAAATCAGGCACTGTGGCTTACTGATGGAATAACCTCAGGTTCACACCAGCAGCACACACAGTTCTTGCACACTCTAGTGTAAACCAAGATAAGAGACCTGGATCTCGCTGAGTGATCCTGGGTTAGTCACCCCTCCTTTCTAGGTCCCAATGTTAGATGCACCAAATGGGAGAAATGGGACAAACAATCTCTAAGAGGCCGCCCAGCTCTGACATTTTAAGATGCAGGGATTCAATTAGATCTCCAGCTAGTCTATACTTCTCATATAAATGAAACATAAAACTATTTGTAGTTAATTAAACTTGAAACAGTTACTATAGCATTAATTAGATGAACAGACATACATACATACACACACAGACACACACACACGCAAAACAATAACTGTTGAATGATATTTTGGATCTTTAATTCCTTTGATCAGTTCTAAGATCAGCTACACACATACTTTGGCCACATTAAAACCCTTTTACTGCCAACTAAGGCTCCAGCTGAGCCAGCCAGCAACAATGTGCCCTCTTCCTGGCCAGCTGAGAGCCCCTGCCCTGTGTCTGCCTCCACCAGCCATAGGGCTCCAGCTGTCAGTTGCCTTGAAAGGGCACACATCCTCAGTCTGCCCACATGTCGTAGCCCACCCCATGATGAAGAGGGTGTATTACTGAAGCAAAACACATAAAATCAACACGTGAGCCTGTGCTCATCCTGACTTCATCACTGCCACCAAAGACAAATGCTAAGCTCCATGAAGAGAAAGTCTAAGCTCTGACCTGCTTCAGTCCTGCCCATCAATACCCTCAGTAGAAAGTCAAACCTGAGATATCCTGGGGAGGCTGATACTCAAGAAACCTCCCCCAGCTTCTCCCATCTGTGTGTGAACCAATCAATCAATCAATCAATCTCTCTCTCTCTCTCTCTCTCACACACACACACACACACACACACACACACACACACCAGCAATGACCACCAGGAGGTGCTGGCCACAGTTCTTAGAGCTGATCCCCTGGGCTGGGTGTGATTAATCCCTCTTCTTTCCATGGCCTAAATGGGACCAGACAAGCTTAAAGACTTGGTCATAAATTAGCCCATGCACAGGATAATGGAATCAAGTTCCACTGAAAGCAGAATCTAGGCCCTACCGCCTCTCTGGTCCAGCATGACTTTGCAGCCCGGCAAAAGAAGAGCATGTCTGGTTTTCAAGCAACTGGGTCTGGGACTCTCATTTTCACATCCAGTTTGAGTTGGTTATGGTCTTCCATGAAAAGTAAAATGCCACGCCAAGCCCGCCCCACCTCCAAACCTACCTGACACCTTTCCCCTCCTGCCTTGCAGTTGACAGCCATGCAACCCCAATGGTGTTGTGGTGGGCCTCACTTAATCCTTGAGTGGAAGGAGCAAGGCCTGGGGACAGGAAGGGGTCCTTAAAAAGTCATCAGATCTAGGAGGCAGCTCTGCCTGTCCTAAGAGGTGTGCTCTCCACCAGCTCCTCCAGAATTCTGAGACCACATCGTTCCACCCACAATTACCTGAGGAGGTGCAGGGGATGATGGGACACAGGGGCCCCTGCAGACCACAATCTGTGAGTTTGCTGCTAAGTGTTCCCATTCAACAGTATGAGAACATTTACAGTCTGAACTAAGCAATGCATCATGAATTCAACAGTGTCCTGCTGCATCTCACAGCATTCTGCCTTGGCCAGACCCCTTCTGCTGCATGTCACTTATATCTTCTTACCACTGTGTAGAAGCCCTGGGCTCATGCTCAGGAAGCCTGGGTTCTTGTCTTAGTTCTTTCACATCTGCACAATGTTGGGCAATTTTTTTTACTCCTCTGAACATTAGTTTTCCGCTCTCTAAGATGAGATGAGCACTACTTACTGCTGGCCCTCCCTGCTCTAGTGTTGTGGTCTAGAGTCCTGGGTCCTCTACCAGACACTTCCCTGTATAAACTTACTCCAAGGGCCAAATTTTATAGGCATAGAGAGAACATTGCAAAAGCAGGGGAACTGCAGGAGTACAGAAGGTCCTGGCCTTTATCATTGCCCTGGTTCCCCACCAGAGTCCTAGAAATTCCACGGTAAGAGACTCAAGTCCCAGAGCAGGGTGCTTCCTCCTCACCCAGACCCTGCCTTCAAATGGCACCTCCACCAGAAAGGGAAATACCTGGGTAACTTTTATTCACCCATCTCTGTCTCTTACTGGACAAGGCTAAACTCCTTCATCTACAATTTAAAGTCTTCCAGAATCTGACCTCAATCTACTCTTTCATCTTTATGTCTCATCTTGCCCCGGATGCACCTTTAGCCCCAGACACAGCGAAGGACTCACTCTTTCCTGAACTTAACTTGCCATCTAATCTTTTGTAGAGAGAATGTCAGTAATGCCAACTACAGATCAATCTACCCATTCATTAAAGAATGTCCCTACAGACTTCCACACAGCAGTTCAAAGCCTAGGTCAATCTGCTACTTGTTAATAATTCTTAAAATGAATAAACACATATTTCTTCAAACCCAAGTTTTCACTGCTTACTGCTGGCCCTCCCTGCCCTAGTGCTATGGGCTGAATTGTTTCCCCCCTCCCTCAATTCATATATTGAAGTCCTAACACCCAGCACCTCAGAATGTGACAGAATTTAGGAGATAAGGTCTTGAAAGAGGCAGTTAAGTTAAAATGAGGTCCTTAGAGTGGGACTTAGTCCAATATGACTGGTGTCCTTATAATAAGAGAAAATTTGGACACAGACATGCACACGTACAAGGAAAAGTCCATGTAAAGACACAGGAAGAAGACAGCTACCTTCAAGCCAAAGAGAGAAGGCTCAGAATGAAATTAAACCTGCTGACCCCTTGATCTTGGAATTCTAACCTCCAGAATCATGAAAAAATACATTTCTATTCTTGAAGCCATCCAGTCTGTGGTACTTTGTTATGGCAGCCCTAGCAAGCTAATGCACCTAGTGTCTTGTCCTTCTACCTAGCCAGCCCAAATATGAGTCACAGAACATCAGAATGGAAAGAGCCTCAGATTGTTGAGTCCAACATCCTGTTTTTCAGACAGGCACAGGGAGGCCCAATAAAAGGAAGAGATTGATCAAGGTCACATAGGAGGTGGTGGCTGAGCCTCCACCCAGGGCTGGTTTGGTCATAAAACACTGAGTCCTGGGGAAACAAGTTGGGATGCACTGAACTGCCTGAGCTGAGCAAACACACAGATAATTCCCCATGGAACTCTGCCCTACACATATCAAGTTTGAATATAAGTGCTAGACACACAGGCCTTGATTTCCCAACTCTGTCCAGAGATGGCTATCTCCACAAACCCTGCATAAGCCCACAGTGACCCGAGAGTGCACAGTGGGTCTTCCTTGGCTGGCACCAGAAATCAGCTTAATATAACCTAGCGCCATTTGAGAGGGCATGAAAGGAAAATGAAGGGGGAAGGAGGAGATCTACTGTAGTCCAGACTTGCCCCTGAACCCCGAAACCTCCTGCTGAAAGTCAGGCTGCCTTCATAAGTGGTAAATCTTAATTCCATTTTTCATCACTAGCTCAACATTTACTAGTATCGTATTGTTGTATTTGTAGTATTTGCTGAGTGAGTGAGATTCAGAGATACTGCATGAAGTCAGTGCTCCGGAAGGTTAAGGAGAGAGGAGATCCCTTTAGACCAGGTAATCAGATGTGACTTTCTGGGGAGGCTAAAACTTGAGCCGGCCATTGAAGGATAGGTGGAGCATGGAGAAAAATAGTCATTCCAGAGAGGCAGCAGCCCCAGGGTCAGATTTCATTTCAGGCTTCTACTGCGTCACTGAATTTGTTTCCCCAAACAAATCTGTGCTGGTTTGGAATTTTATCCACAGTAATGAACATTGACAAATGTAGTTTAAGGGACCAGGGTAGAAAGAGAAGTCACAGTCCTTGCTACAAAGAGTGTACAATCGGAATGAGAAGATCAAGCTTTCTTTTTTATTATTTTTGAGACAGTCTGGCTCTGTGGCTTAGGTTGGAGTGCAGTGGCACCATCTCGGCTCACTGCAACCTCTGCCTCCTGGGTTCAAGAGATTCATATACCTCAGCCTCCTGAGGAGCTGGGATTACAGGTGCATGCCACCACACCCAATTAATTTTTTGTATTTTTATCAGAGACAGGGTTTCACTATGCTGGCCAGGCTTGTCTTGAACTCCTGGCCTCAAGTGATCCACCCTCGTCGTCCTCCCAAAGGATTACAGGCATGAAACCACTGTGCCTGGCCCAAGCTTCCCTTTTGAAGTCAAGCTCATGGGCCATGACTAGCTCTTTTCAGCAGTGGCTTGGGGGTCTGAAAACAATCACTGGACTATTTGAAACTCTTCACCACCTTCCAGGATTCCTGAACGTTTAGGGGCAGCATTTATTAAGGAATAAGGGAAGAAACACCTCCAGGCTCACCTTCAGAGTGAAGACCAGGCACTGAAAGTGGACTCCTCCTGAAGACACATCCACAGCACTGCAGTAACACTAGTAAGCTGCCTGAACCTGGCCTTCTTGATTGTGTTTTCTGTGAGTTCCTGTCAACAGGGGCTGACCATATGAGGGTCAGGTCCACAGCTTAGCTCTCCCTCTGCTAGTTCCTGAGCAAAACTTGTGTTTCAACCAGGGTTTTACAGCCTGTCTAGCTCTGAACACCTTCATTATCCATCTGTCCAAGTTTAGGTGGTATGAACTGGTACCTGAATGACAAAGATCTTTTTTGGAGGTTGGAGAGGCTGAATGTTGACCATAAACTAGAATTGTTTGTCTTCCAAACTCTATGGGTTCATCCTGATAATCCGAAACACTTGTCTCCTTTGTGCATAAACTGGATTGAAATATTTTTAGAGTTCTCAATCAAGATGTATTTTTTTAGGGGTGGGCAACAGTTGATTTTATAAATATATTTTCATTCTCCCTTGTTGTGAAGTAAACAGTATTCCCATTACTATGTTTATTATGTGGCTAAATGAAAAGTAATAGGATTGAGTCTAGGCTGGGACAATGCCACCCCCAGGTATGAGGGCCTGTTTTTGCCTATGGAGAGAGGGGCACCCTCACACTGGACACCAGGAAGGAAGGAAAGAGGGCCAAGGGCAGGCTCAGAGTGCCTTTCACACGTGTGGCCTTGGCCACAAGAACTTTGAAATGTCTAAGAGGGAATTTCAATATTAAAACAGAATCTTCTGGTTGGAGTTTGCCCAGAACTAGAAAATAAAAACTTCTGGCAAGATGTCTGAAAAACTAATAGCCCTTTAGGACTAGAAGGTAGATGTTACGGATCAGAGACTATGAACTCGGAGAATGTGATGCAGGAGGAGCCATGGCTTGTTGAATTTTCTATGCTATTTTTCCCTGTTCTCCTTTAGTAATCCATTACTGTCTTTAGAACTGTCTAGCCTGCCTCAGCTGCTCCAAAGAAAATCAGGATAAACTTAATTAAAGTCCATGGCCAGAGTGCTCTGTAGGAGCAGCTATGTTTATTGCCATGAACATCTTGATAAAATAGACAATTTTCTAGGAAGATGAAAGATTGACTCAAGAACTATTAACCATGCTGAGAAAAATTGTGGACAAATTATCTCTACAAAAGGCTCTGAGCTCAGACAGTTTTACGAATGAGTGCTTTCAGATTGTTATAGAGCAGAGAAAAAAGATGGAAAGCTTTCCAATCTCTTTTTTAAGGGATAATTTCATGACAAAACCTGGCAAAGATAATATACAAATGAATACATATATAACATTATATGATGTATAAGTAATACACACACAGACCAATGTTAATTATGTATTCATTTTTCATTTGAGATTTTTGCTATACCATGTACTGGAGTATGCTATATACTTATATTCAAGTATATAATATAGAAAAAATGTATTCCTCAAGTATTAACATATACTGCATACTTGAGTATATAGTATGGCAAAAATCCCAAATGAAAAATTATGCTAATACTAGGGTATATACTAATACTATATATATGCTATATGTTATATACTATAGTATATAATACCATATACTCAAATATATAGTATAGCAAAAATATATGCTCAAGGATAGAGTATAGCAAAATCCCAAATGAAAAACTAATAAATTCAGGAGATATTCAAAGAATAATTTAATATGACTAATATTGTATTTATCCCTGGAATTCAATGATGACTTTAGATATGGAAGTATGTAATAGTCTACATCAATCTGTCACAGAACAAAAGCCATAAGATCATCCTAATAGATCTAAAGATACAGATTTTTTAATGTAATACATTATGTGGATTAGAAAAAAAAACGTAGCAAACAGGAAGACAGGATTTTACACTTGTAATCAACTTCCTGTTCATGGCGAAACAATAGGTACATGTCTACCAAAATTAGAAACAAAGCAAGTAAGACTTCTAGCCCTACCATGATTATATAGTTTCTATTTCTAGTCAATAACCTGAAACAGAAAAGTAATATTTTTTAAAAGTCAGGAAATCAAAATATCATTATTTATAGACAATATCCTAGTCTGCCAAAAAAAAAAAAAATTCAAGAGAAAACTACCAGAACTAATAGGATTTTAGTAAGGTGGGCAATAAGTTAAAAATATACGCATCTATAGATGATTATATACCAGAAGTAGCTAGTTTAAAAATACAGGTGGGGGGAAAAGATTATATTTAAAGTGAAATAACAATATTAATAATAAACCTAAAAATAATCTTCATGAAAAAACACACCAGTTCTATTAAAAAGATTATTTAAAATTTATTGTGAGACATACAAGCAGACTTGAAGAAATATCATGTTCCCTGTAGAAACATTAAGTTTTTTTTTTTTCAAATTCTTTCTCAAATACTTTTTGAAAAGAAGAATTGTATACGACAGGAGGGGAAGAGCAAGGCCTGCAGGACTGCTCTAACAGGTACTGTACACCCTCATGCTGGAAGCATTCAAGAACACAGAGGAGCACAGCCCCACCCAGCCATGTCCACGTGTAAAGATCTAATGTCCCAGAGAGAGGAAAATATGCAAGCTTTAGAAACATGACAGAATATGAAGCATGAGAGTACTTGATGTCAGCTTTGGAAATTGTGAAACTTAAGTTTTCTTTGTTCTGGGACTGTTCAAAAATCACTAATTATTCATAAAGGTAGGAAATAAGACTGTGAGTGCCATCTCATGGAGAAAGACACCAATACGGTGTTCAAGTCACTTTTGTCACGGTTATTCCCAATCATGTAAACTTATGGCATCTGACATGGTACAAAGCCACAATAATAAAAACAGTAGGGAGCTGCAATCAGAGTTGTGAATTAAATCACTCGACAGGCTATACAGCTCCAAACATATGAATAGAGAGATTCATTATTTTATAAAATAAATGTATTATTTCATAAAAGGAGCATTATTCATCAGGGAGGAGAGGAAGAATTAATGGTTAAAGCATTAACTAAAGTAAATGGTTTATTTTGAGGGGGAGAATAAATTCTGAACTCAATTTTATGTGAGCATAATTCCAGATGAATAAAGAAAGTATCTAGAATTGATGTTAATAAAACTAATTAAGAAAAAAACTAATTAAGAAAACATAAAGAAAAATAGCAGAAAGTATGGAAACTTCATGAGGGCAGGGATTTTTGCCTGTTTTGTTTATCGCTGTATCTCCAGCACATAGAGTAACACTTGCTGCATAGGAAGGGCTCAATACATTATTGAAAAGATGAATGAATGAATGAAACTTTTTTCCATTATAAATTTTCTGATTATATCCTTTGTCACATTTTCTACTAGGGTTTTTTTTCTTTAATTACTATAATTTGCTTTCAAAAAAAGTCTTCTTAAAGATTCTTAAAGAATCTCTCAAATTTGTTGTCTTTTCATTTATTTCATTTACATGCAAAAAACAACTTATTTGTATGAGGTTAGCCAACCCAGTCAGTTCTCTTTTATAACTTCTTCTGCTTATCATTATCTACAGAAAGTCCTTCCTGATTCCAAAGAGCAGTCTGATCCAAGTTATTTCAACTGGGGGGCTAGCACATCCTCTTCCTCTTCCAAGGCCAGGGCCCACTTCACAGGCATCTGATTCAGAAGATTTCCCTCCCTAACTAGACTCATCAAACCCCAAGCTTCCTTTCTCTGCTCACTCTTTTGCATAATTACACAGTGAGGTCATGTGTTTACCATACCATTGTTCCATCGCCATGGAGATGATGAGCGACAAAGCACTGGCAAGAAGCCTCCCATGCAGGATGAAGCCAAGGAAGAAGAGAAGAGAGGAAGGACACGCCCATTAACCAAAGGACCCAAAACATATCTCAAGGAGCTCATGAAGTCATCCTCATGCACACAGTTTCCCAGGTGTCAGATCTGTTTGGTAAGCACATAACCTTCCAACCCAGCTCAGCATGTAGCTGCACCCAACAAGCAGCCTCTGACCTCAGAAGATGAGGTTCCTGTCCCTTTTAACCACTGGGGCCCCTGATGTGATCCTGGGCTGGCTGGTGGCCTCTTGTTTTCTCTAAGAATATAACTCCCTGTTTGTAATCACTTTACTGCATCATTCTTACCCTCTCTTCTCCCTCCAGATTCAAAAATGTGCTCCCCTCTACTTCCAGGACAATCTCTCTAAGACAAGAATCTGACTGCCTTACTCATATTGTAAAGTTAAGTTAGTGAACCACCATTGTTCTAAGGGAAAACATTCTAAATTCCTCATGATCTGGCCCCTGCTTCTATTTCCAGCCAACTTCTTACCGCCCACTTCTTTGTGCTCTACTCCAACTATATTCTGCCTAGCGTTTGAAAATACTGCTTTTTCCATCTAAAATAATAACTTCCTTTTACTGATAACACTGACCTAGGCAGAGTCCTAAGAAGGTGGCCTGTATATCCTCTAGGTAAGGAAATTAGGGTTCAAAGTGGTTCAACAATTTACCTAGGGTCGTACAGCTTTTAAGTAGCAGAGCAGAGATTTGAATCCAGGTCTTTCCAACTGTAAAAGTTGTGACCCTTCTACTACCTAGGGTGACCTACCATCTTAATTTGCCCAAAACTATCTCAGTTTTAGCACTGAGAGTCCCACATCCTGGGAAGACTCTAAGCCCCAGTGAATCTGGGTAGTTGGTTTGTTAGGCCATTATTGCATTGCTATAAAGAAATACCTGAGATTGGGTAATTTATAAAGAAAAGAGGTTTCATTGGCTCACAGTTCTGCAGGCTGTACAAGAAGCATGGTGTTGGCATCTGCTTGGCTTCTGGGGAGGCCTCAAGGAGCTTTTACTCAATGGCAAAAGGCGAAGCAGGTGCTTGCATATTACATGGTAATAATTCACTTATTGAGAAGACAGCCCTTCTCTCCTTTAGCCCCAAGCCATGAGAGATCCACCCCCATGACCCAGTCACCTCCCACCAGGCCCCATCTCCAACATCAGGGATTACAATTCCACATAAGATTTGGTGAGGACACACATTCAAACCATATAAGTTGGCTACCCTTCAGCAACCCTTTGCTGCGGCCTTTCCTATTCATGCCAATTCATCTTTCACACATGAGCTCGCTCGCTCTCTCTCTCTTTCTCTCTCTCTGCCTCCTCCAGGAAGCCTTCCAAGACTGCCCCACATCACAGAAATATATTTCCTCTGTCCTGCCACATTCCTGGGCCTGCCTCCATCCCAACTAATCACCTTATATCAAAAAGACCTGTTTACCTTTTAATCTCTTTTGCTAGAGGATAAACTTTCCTGTATCTTCGAACCAAGACCCATTCATCTCTGTTGCCCCAGGGCTTGTCAAAAAGTAGGAGCTCAATTACTGGTTGTTCACTGAATGGGCAAATGTGATAAGAACTGCTCTGTGGGTACCCTGGTGGCCGTATCTCCTGAGAAAGTGGTTTCTAGAAATAACTTTGCAGTCTCAAAATTCCTAAGAAGGCCCTCTCTGGAGCCTCGCAATCAGCAAGCATGACCCAAGCAATTGCTCTGCTTGGAACCCATGGGCCCCACAAGGTCTGTATCTGACCCAAACTCCTCTGTTGCTAGTTTTTAAGCCCACTGATATCTCTAATGCCCTCCTTAAAAGTCTCTAGTAATGTTAGTTTGTGGGATCCATTTACAAAGCTGTTCCAGGAAGAAAGAGGAGGGAGGGAAGGAGATACGGAAAATTCATCACTTTCCAAATGGCTTCTGCTCTGATGCAGAAATGGTGCTGGCACACAGAGGCCACAGGTGGAAACGGCATCTTCACCCTGCACCTACACAAAACCTGTTCTACCCCCACGTGCCCTCTGAGAAGAGGGAAGACCAGTTAATCATCCAGAGAGAAAGAGAATGAGGGTCACTTCCCTGGAGCTCAGGTGCGCTGCCCCATGAACAGGCAACATGAAACTTAGGAAGAGACAAAAGAAGAGCAAACTCCATTGTTGAGTGAAAGAAAGAGTTCAGATTCAGGCTGGTTCTGATTTATCCAAACAAGTCCCACTGCTCTGGTGAGCAATTGTTAGAATCAAAACCACCTGACACGTGTCAAAACACCAGCATCACTGCCCACCGGCAGCATGTGAGGGGCAGATATTTGATCCAGCCACCGTCTTTTCCCTCCTGCCTCGCTCCATGATGAAAGCAATGTGTCCTGACCCCCTACTTCTCCCCACCACTGACACTCTGGAGGGGCTTAGGGAAGCCTTCACAAATAATTAATTTTAGCTGTTGGGAGAAATACAGATGAAAAACGGTCAGGGATGAGAAGAGAAGCGGTGATGGGAGAACAGGAAATTGATGCCCAAAAAAACTCAACAGTGGGGCCACAGCTTAGTGGGCCAACCAGATATTTGTATCAACAATAACCTAGACTATTTATATGATCCCTCCATATGCACAGCACTTAAGGGTTCACAAAGCACTCACAAATGTTCATTAGCTCCTGTCGAGCACTGCACCTGATTTTTGAGGTAGGAAGGTCAGTGATGATTAGTCTCACTGTGTAGACGGCAAATCTGAGGTGCAGAAAGGTTAAGCAACTTACCAAGTCCACAGCTGGTAAAAAATGGAGCCCAAATTTAAACCCAGTTCTTACCCCAGATTGCATTTCTTTAAGAAACCCTCTTGTGACACGAGTGCCAAACATGGTTCTGATATGCCCGCATTGAATCCTTCTAATCCTCCTGGGCTGTACTCATTGCTCCACCCTTGTCTCCTTTAGCTCCTGCCCTGTCAAAACGTCCAAGAGATATCTTTGTGACAAGTGAGCATTACCAAATTTACTGCAGAGCCCCCTTAGGAAATCAAATTGAGGTCAGGGGGAGACTTTGTTCCTCCCACCTTGGCTTTTGCAGTTCTTTCCACCAACTTGAATGAGTACTCTGAACCCCCACTGTGTGCCAGACCTGGAGCCAGGGATCAAGGGAAGCGACCCACCCTCACCCCTAGACCATGGCCAATCCATGCCCATGTGCCATCTGGGTCTCAGCGAACCAGTGGACAGGGCTGGAACTTCCCAGGAAGAAAATGTGGGAAAATTCAGGGAGAGCCCGAGGGGAAAAGGGTAGATTCTGAGGTCAAACACAAAATAGGGTCACAGGATTATATCCAGTGCCCTAGCTGGCAGAAAACGTAGGTACCCACTAGCCAAGGAAGTGGTTTGGGCATTGGTGATCATATTTCTGATTCACACCACAAGATATAAACATCCATTCAGTAAAGCACACAGCCTCTCACCACATTTGGAAGAACTTCTCCCTGAAATTCCACTGGTTTCTAAAACCTTTTAAAACTACATTTGACCTTTCAGCTCCTGTAAGAGTTTAAAGCAGATGGGCCTACAAATAGGGCAATCGTCTACTGAGAGGGCAGAGCAAGGGAATTTCTACAAAAACTTTTGAGTACTTGTGGGGGACCAAACTCCCATTACCAGACTCTGCCGACCTCTCACCCCACACTTAAAGGCTTCCTTAGCAACACCCCTAAACCAGCCAATAGGATTCCAGTTAATGACTGCGACCAGCCTGGGAGCGGCCAATCTGTGGTGGGTGCAGGGTCCTCTCGTTTGATGGAAACCCACCCTCCAATCTGGTCTCAGAGTTCAGCTTTCCATGAAAATAGCACTGAGCAAGCCTCTTATTCCACTCAGTTTCTTTGGCTCAAAGAAATGCAAGTCTACCTTATTGCAGGGGAACTCTCTGCTCAAGCAGGAGAGTTTGGTCATCTCTGGATTTGAGGAGCTCCCCGGGCTTCATTTCTTCCCCAGATCTCCCCATAGCTACCCTCCCTCAGGGCAGCCCAGATATAGGAACTAGACCTTTCATAAGGACTCTTAAAGTGTCCTGTGCCTGGAGTCCGAGGAATGTTCTTCTGCTCTTCTGGTCCTGCCCTAATCCCTTTCCAGTTTCTCCAGCTGCTGGAGATGAAGAAGTAATGATTTCCCCCTCCCCCTAGAAGCTAGGACCTAAGGGGATAATGGATCCAATTGCTCTTCAAGCTCTCCAGCCTTGTGGAGCTCAATGTTCAAAACAAACAAAGAAACAACAATAACAACAACAACAACAACAAACACCCTTACATAGAGAAAGTACTCATCTGAAAACCGATAATCACCCATATCCACAGGTAGGCATTTCCATGGCTTGTAGATTACCCACAGGCTTATAAAAGGACCCCTAGGGCCTGACATATCAAAGGAAGGGTAAAAGTTTTGTTGGCCTCAGAATGCTTCCCTGGCTCACTTATTTGGAGCCTCCATTAGGAGAGCCAAAGATGAGTGTCATCCTTGGCCCATGGGCAGCCTGCCCAGAGTGACCAGCTGGGTAAGGTAGCATGGGCATGGGGGCTTGGATAGCTAAGAAGGGAATGGGGTAGGGGGGAGCTCTGAGGCCCACTGTCTCAGAAACAATCTCTGGTGTTTTGGAGGCAATGCACAGAAGCCCAAGGAAGGCTGACTCTAACTGAGAGAGGACAGAATGGCAGAATTTTAAGGGTTTTTCAGAGACCCTAATGCCTCCTTCAATTGTCCCTTACTTCTATATAAAATGCAACATTAGTAGTACAGTTCTTTGAGAGGTAATAAGCCTGGACCCAAACCCCAGTAACACTACCCCAAGTTGGCACTCAGTGACATTATTTCCAAATTTCCAACCCCCAGAACTTTGCCATTAAGATAAAAACCACCAATAATACCATTATACCATTACACATTGTGTCCCTGCGTTTTTATTTGTTTTGTTGTTGTTGTTTGTTTTTTGAGACAGGGTCTGGCTCTGTCACCCAGGCTGGGGCACAGTGGTGCGATCATGGCTCACCGCAACCTCAACCTCCACAGCTCAAGTGATCCTCCCACTTTAGCCTCCTGAATAGCTGGGACTACAGGCATGCACCACCACACCTGGCTAATTTTTGTACTTTTTGTAGAGACAGGGTTTCACCATGTTGCCAGGCTGGTCTCAAACTCTTGGGCTCAAGCGATCCTCCTGCCTTGGCCTCCCAAAGTGCTAGTATTACAGATGTGAGCCACCATGCCCAGCCCCTGTGCTGCATTTCTTTAGCAAATTGTTTTTGGTTTTAAAGTGACTTATAACCTTCTATCAGAGCTTCAGAGAGGCAGTGGCTGCAGGGAAAGTCACAGAGAGGAGAACTAGACTCTCGCCCCACTATGCCATAGTGGCTCGTGCCTTCTGGTCTTTTCCTTTCCACTGATTCTGCTCTTCTGCAGGTATAATTAGTAAGGACGGGGTAATGCTGGAGTAGGGTGGGTCTTTCATTCAATATGGTGGATGTCCTTATAAAAATGAGGTATCTGGCTGCAGGGCCACAAACCTAAGAAGAACATCATGTGAGGATGAAGGCAGAGAGCAGGGTGATGCAGCTGAAGCCAAGGACACTGAAGACTTCCTGCAAACCCCCAGAAGCTGGGGCAGAGGCCCTCCAGTCTCCAGAAGAGGCCAACCATGCTGATACCTTGACCTTGGACTCCTAGCCCCAGAACTATGAGAAATAAATTTCTGTTATTTAAGTCACTCAGTTGTCTTACTTGGTTGTGGCAGCCCTGAGAGGCTAATTCTCAGCGCTTTCTCTGAATGTCCTCAACACTCTCCTGGTTCTCCTCCTGCCTCAAAAGCACTCCTCAGCTGGTTCCTTTCATTTCTCCAGAGTTTATATAGGAGTCTCCTGAGCCAAGCAACTCATGTCTCTTCTTTTCTTTCCCAACACTCTGTCCCTGGGTGATTTCCAATTGTCTCATGGGGCTTTAGAAACCACGTATGTGCCAATTTAAAATTACCTCTCCCAGACCCATAGATCCAATGGCCTACTTGGCATCTCCCAGTGAATACTTAACAGGCATCTCAAACATAACAAGTCCAAAGCCTTCCCCCAAGGGGCTGGGTGGCAGACTGGGCCCCAGGCCCCAAGGAGAAGGGGCACTTCTCAGGCCAAGCCTTGGGATCAGTTGATGCTGTACCCTGGGAGGGAAGTGGCTATGCTCTGGCATGTTGGCTCGACAGGATATGAGTCCCAGGGAATGCTGGGTGTTTGGGTACAGTGGAGAATGGGACAGATGCGGTACCTGCCTGTGGAGCCCATATTCTTGACTCTCCCAATGCGTTTCTATCCCAGTCCATAAGAAATTGTACAGGCCAGCTGGAAGAACACACTTCAGGACTACTAACATGTCTAAATTTTAATCTAAATTTGCCATGTTAAGAACAACAGCCCTTTTATATTTCAAAACTAAACCACACTTGGGCAAGTTGAGTGGATGAAGCTTTATCAATATGGGTAGGTAATGTGGAAGGGTGGGATTCAGAAATGAAAGGGGAGGGTCTGTACTGGACATACCAAATCATGCCAATGAGCATAGCCATTATCTGTGTGTATAGACAGATTCTTCCAAAGGATATAAGTTATTCCTCCAAAGTTAGGTCAGAATTCAAACTGCACAGTGAACACTAAAATTACTTAATATGCTATTTTTTTAAATGTGCAAACAAGCCAGCAAATAATATTCACTAACGGGAGAAAACCAACGTATTCAAACACTTTCGAGGCCTGTACAAAGTATAATAATTTAAATTCTTTCCACTTCATGAAAACAATTCTTCCTCCTCCATCACTCTCCTTCCACGTTTAGGAAGCAATTCGCAGATCCACTCAAATTTATATCCAAATTGCAGCTTTTAAAATGCTAGCTCATCAATGATTCTGATAGGCTATGCTTCCCGCCAATCCCAGCGCATTTTACTCTTTCAGTACCTGAGGGTCCAATCCTGTTATCTAGATATGCCATCCTGTGAGCCCCACCTTGGCCTCGTGTCTCTGCCACTTGGCTTGGCATCATTAGAATAGCATTTCATTTGAGAACTCAGGACCACCCAGAACTTGGATTCCCTGGGGGCCCAGGTTGCTCAAGGAGGGAGCGATTGTGAGCCAACATAACAAGGATGCTTTCCAGAGTCCCCAGGGTTTGGCCGGGGAAAGCTCCACCTGAGCGTGAGGTCGCCAGTGAGCTACCCCGCAGCTGATCGCTGAATTCAGGTGCAAAGGGTGGCAGGGAGAAAGGCTTGTCCAGGAGTACCTGGAAGCTGGGCACAGCAAGTGCCTGTCCCACCAGCAAAGGCCTTCAGCAGCTTCTCTGGCAACAGGCAAATTCCTGGAGTCTGGGTTGGGCCCTCCTCCATGTAGGGCTCTCGTTTCTTGCCCTTCCTGGTTCCCCCTCTCCAGTTTCTATCTCGATGCAGATCCCCTGCCCTAGGGGACCAGCATGAGGGACTATGTGCTGAAGAGCAGCAAGGCCAGAAGAAGGGACATCACACCAAGAGGCTTAGTAAGGTGGAGGCCAGGCACCAGCCAGCCCAGCATGCTCCCCCCAATCCCCTCTGTCTCATGTGCCCCTTCCCAGCCAAGCCCCTGTGATTCAAGCTCCCATACTTGGCCTGTGAGCCCAGCTCTCTCTGCCTGGGAACCTCTTCCAAGAGACAGCGTTTACAGCAATTAGGTCTCCCTTGACTTCTCCGTAAGAGAACACTGCATGCTCTGGTGGGCAGAGAGCATCTTACCCAGAAAATACAGAGGAACCTCTGCCTTGGGGCCCGCTTGGGGTTTGCTTGGAACCAGTTTGAGAAATCTTGGCACCTGAGTCTTCATCAGGCACACTTGGGATGCCCGAATCAGGGCCAGATGGATGAAATTACCCTTGAAATGTAGGCAAGATTACAATCCGGACCAGGAGGGAGGACGTGGGCATTCAGGGATAAAAATGCCTGGGTTGTGTGGTGCTGGCACCCAGCCATGGGACAGAACATTTGAAAGTGGTGACAAAGCTTCCAGCTTTGCCAGGTTTGGAGAGTTAGCTCAAGGCTTTGGGCCAGACAGGCAGAGACACTGAGGAGTAAGAAGGGATGGACCTGAGATAAGGGCCAGAGCATCTCAAAGTCTCTGCCATCCATGCCTTTGCCTCCCCGCAAAAGGTCTGCCCATAAAACAGCTCATGAGGTTATTGAAACATGATGGAAACTTCCAAATTGCCTTCAATGATATTATTCCAGGCCGGGGCTGTGTCCTAGCTAAGCTAACAACCCTGGAGTTGATTGCAGGAGTTGAATCCCTATGCAAAGGGAGGGAAAAATGACAACTCGCTAAATGCAAAGAAAGAAATCGGGCTTGGGCCCATGAGAATGGCCCTGGACCTGGGGTATGACAATCCAAGCAGGCCAAATAACAGCAGATGAGCCAAGGGCCAAGAAGGTGGGTGTGCAGGAGAGTCCAGGTGCCCAGCCAGAAGGTAGACAAACACTCAGGAAAAGAGGCAATGACATTGGGTGGATGGAGGTTGACAGCATCTTGCAAAAGATACTAGCTGCAAAGAAGGGGCTGGATTCCAAGCCAGAAGACTGCGAGCGAGCTGTCCTTCCTCTGGACCCCACCCCTGGCTTTCCCACTCCCAGGGCACTTGCCACACAGCTTCACTCGCATGTCTGTGTCTGCCCCATCAGACAGTGCCTGTTGTGTGTGTTTCCGGAAGATACCAAACATGAAGCAGAGCTGGTACTCAGTAAGAGGGTGTTGAGAGAATGAATACATGACACTGAGAACCACCAGAACATCAGAGGGGAAGCCTGAAACACATCAGACTGCAGTGCATGTTCTTAGAGCTCCACTCACCCCACCCCTACAAGTGATTCCAGAACTAACTTGGCCCCTTCGGTTGGGTTTTTTGTTTTGTTTTTTTCTGGCAGAGCTCAATGCAAGAAGCCCAAAGGCCAAAGCAGCACAGTAGTCCTCTGACCAGGCAGGTGGAGAGCCACCTTGGGCACAGATTTCCTGATAAGAAAAGAGCCCATAAGAATGGTTCCCTCTGTGCTTCCTTCCTCTGGGTTCTCATTCCCTCTTCTTGTAGCTTTAAATGCCATCTCTGAGGGCTTATGACTTCCAACCATCTATCCCCTGCTTGGTCCTTGTCACTGAAATCCAGGCCCATTACATAGCTGCCTATTGGCATCTCCATCCAGATGTCTAACAACGTCTCAAACTTAACATGCCCCAAACCAAACTCCTGACCACCCAGCCAAACCTGAGTCACTAAAGCCCTCCCCTTCTCAGTCAATAGCAAATCCATTCTTCTAGTTGCCAAGCTATGATAGTGAATTTGATGTGTCAACTTGGCTGGGCCACAGTGCCTAGATAGTTCATCAAACGTTATTCTGGATGTTCCTATGAGGAAGTTTTCTTTTCTTTTTATTGGACGAGATGAATATTTAAATCAGTAGACTTCGAGTAAAGAAGATTGGCCTCCATAAGTGTGGGTCTCATCCAATCAGTTGAAGGCCTGAACAGAACAAAAGACTGACTTCCCCCAAGCAAGAGGGAATTCTCCAACAGATGGCCTCGGACTACACACTGGCTTTTCCCTGGGTCTTTAGCCTGATGGCCCACTCTATAGATTTTGGACTTGTCAGCAGCCTCTACAATCATGTGACCCAATTCCTTAAAATAATCTCCTTCCCTCTCTGTCTCTACATGTATGTACACATACACACACATATATTATTGGTTCTGTTTCTCTGGAGAACCCTGACTAATATCCAAGCCAAAAGTCCTGGAATCATCCTTGACTCCTCTCTCTCCTAACCCCACATCAAATCCCACCACAAATGGTACCAGTTCAACCTTCAAATTACATCCAAAATCTCATGACTTTGCACCACTACCACTAACTACCCACCAGCCAGCCGGGTGTGGTGGTGCATGCCTGTATTCTCCGCTACTCGGGAGACTGAGGTAGGAGGATTGCTTGAGCCCATCAGGTCAAGGCTGGCTGCAGTAAGCCGTGATTATGCCACTGCACTCCAGCCTGGGTGACAGAGCAAGACCCTGTCTCAAAAAAAAAATAATGAAATAAAATAAAATCTCACACACATGCCCAATACTCCCCATTACCACCTTGTTTTGTTTTTCACCGTAGCCCATATCAATATTTAATATCCTGTACACATTTCTTATTATCCTATTTATTTTCCCAACTCAAGTGCAGAACCCATGCAGAATAGGAAACTGTGTCTCTTACTCTTTCTTCAGGGTCTAACCAGTGCCCAGCAGTAGTAGGCATGTCCGTTCAGGCTGCTATCACCAAATACCACAGAAGAGGTGACTTATTAACAACACGCATTTATTTCTCACTGTTTTGAAGGCCGGGAAGCCCAAGAGCAAGTTATTGGCAGATTCCAGGTCTTGTGAGGGTCTGCTCCCTCAGAGACAGCCCTCTTCACACCATGTCCTCGCATGGTGGAAGGGGTGAGGAGTGTCTTGGAAGCCTAGTTTTATAAGGGCACTAATTCCATTCATGAGGGCTCCACCCCCATGGGCTAATCCCCTCCCAAAGGCTCTACCTCCTAATAATTATGCTGGGGTGGAGTTCCATATATGAATCTGGGGACAACATAAACATTCAGACCACAGCAGTATCCCATAAATATGTGTTTAACAAATGAATAGGTGAACGGGTGCACCAGTTATATCTTCGCATGAGGTGGGGTCTCTTTGCTTCTGTTCCTCAGACCAGCATCAGTTTTTGAGTCTGTGTGGGCCAACACCCACCTGAGCCATGCAGGCTGGAGAGCTCCAGGCTGGAAATGAGCCTACCCCTCTCCAGCCCCATGCTTGGCTGGGTGCCCAATAAAAGTTCTGCATGTTACACACACTGGTAATTAAAATCCTGGAAAAAACTCTTCACTAGGCCTCCTTCCTCAACTATGAGACATTTTGAATGCTCGACTGGAAATGCTGAACACTGCGGAGCCTGGATGGGGGTTTTAAAAACAAAGTGATGATGACAATATGTGATCTTCACAGCCCTCCCCCACCAGCCCTGTAGGAGCGGCTGTTGAATTGCAAGGCCCTCTAATTCCCCAATTCCCAGGAGAGCAGGTCTTCCCTCAACATGCATTCTATGTGGGAAAAATAAATCACTGTTTTTCTGAAGTTCAGGGGTGAGTTTATTTTTAAGTCATCTGATTCTCTGAGGCAAGAGACAAAAAGATATCCCAAGACTGAAGAAAAGAGCCAGGACTTGGAAGAGACATGAGAGACAGAGAGCAGAATTATAATCAATGTTAAATCAAAGTCCAGATTGTTCCGTTTCATGCGGTTCTGTTTCATTTCTGTGCCTCCTCTGTTGCCATGATAACCTGTCAACAAACAAGTGATGGAGAGGAACTGAATGAGCTGGGGCTGAGCAGAGCTGGTCCACCTGCCCAACTGGGCTCTCCATTATCCCCCGCACCTGGTGCATGGGCCAAGCTGAGTCAGGAACTCAGGAGAACTCAGGTGGCGGTGTCCTACCCACATGCCCCGTGCTCCCTCAGTGCCTCTCCTGCAGTACTTCCTGTGGGGCAGCTGTCATGGGGGAGAGGGTGCTGCAAACATGCGTGGTCAGCACAGGAACCAAAAACTCGACCACCACTCATTCTCCTTCATGTACCCATCTCCATCCCAGAATTAGGAGAGCCCAGTGCTGAGCTTGGCATAGTTGATAAGTGAACCATAACGGTAACTAACATTTCCATGCACCTCCAATTTGCCAGGTGTTTTACATGTAATAACATGTTGAATCTTCACAACAAATCTATAGACAGGGTTATTACCCTCATTTTACAGATGTGAAATCAGAGGCCCAGAGATGATAAGTAATAGCCCAAGGCTAGTGGGTGCGACTGGGGTTTGAGCAAAGGCAACCACATCTGAAGCCAGAGGGGGTAAGCACCACTCCATTCTGCTTCCCATGGTTGGAGGGCTCACCAACCACTAAAGACATCACTTCCTGCACAGATATCTTCTGCCAAGCTCCTGCCACACGGGCCTCCTGGATTGCAAACATCCTAGGGCCTGTGCACTGAGCCCTCACTGACAGGCATGCTTGTTCTTCTGAATCTCTACTTGGCCCACAGTCTCCCGGTCTCAGCTCCACTGACCTATCCTGAGAAAGACCTCTCTGCCCCTGCTCTAAAAGTTTCACCCACTGGATTGTCTCTAGGTATTATCCCTGCAATTATCATTGCAGTCACCATCATCTGAAATGATCCTGCTTGTTTACCTATTGTCTAGCTGCCCGCAGTGTTTCAAATTAACTAAGTTCCTCAAAGAGCAGGGGCCTAGATTCTTTTGCTCAACTCACCACAATATCCACCTGGCTCGTAGTTAAGCCCTCAACTGATTTGATTAAATGTGTGAATTAATGACTGAGAGAAGTAGAATGAAAGCCTCAAGAGCAGAGGCCTGGCATCCTAAACACGCACGGAGTAGCGGGCAGCAAAGCATGAGCTCAGAACTGCAGCCAGATCCAGAGGCGGGGAAGGCCTGGGTACCACTGCCCACAGCCTGACCTCCTAACTCAAGTCATGAGTTTCCTTCATGTGGTTTGTGGAATGATGCCCTCCATCCACCTTGTTCCATCCAGAGGTCACCGGCCGCATGCGGCCAGGGAGGCTTCACACCCTGGCTACCACAACTGAGAATATGAACGTTGAATTTTATTTCATTTTAATGAATTTAAAATTAAAAACTAATAGCTCAGTCAGTTATTGGAAAACTTTTAAGTATAGTTGGAACACTTTGGGTGTGTGAATCTGCGTTTTCAACACTCAATTTTATGAACTCTAAATACAGATCAAGTATTGCCAATGAAAATCTAGCATCTGAATAGAAATGTGCTCTAAGTGTAAAATACACACTGGATTTTGAAGACTGAATGCAAAAAAAATGTAAAATATCTCATTAATATTTTTGTATGGATTGCATGTCCACATAATATTTTGGACATATTTGGGTTAAACAAAATCTATTACTAAAATTAATTTCACCTGTTTCTTTTTACTTTTTAATATGGCTACTAGAAAAATTTTAAATGACATATGTGGCTCACATTATATTGCTACTAAGGCTTCTGGCCAATAGAACAGAACTTCTGATTTAAAAACAGGCCCAATTTGAGTTTTAGCAGGAGCAAAACTGAATCGTTAGAGAGAAGTTCCCCTCCTGTATCAGTTTGTCCCTGGAATACTCAGGAGAAAGCTAGGGGTTCTCAGGGCAGCGAGACATCCTTGCTCCAAACACTACGTCACAAACACAACACAGCCCAGCAAACTGACCTGAGGATTAAAATTCAAAGTCCCTCAGGATCAGGGCAAGAACCCTACCATCTCTCAAAACCTGACTACTTCATTTCTTCTCCTACAAAGAAATATTCTTCCCCACTACAATATTATATGCTCTATTTTTTATTTATGTTACAAGAAATTCTGAAATTAATCTAGCTGTATACAAATGGGCTTCCTCTCACAGACAGGAGGCCTATGGGGAAACTAAACAGTTTCCCCGGGAACAAATGTGAATGTGAAAGGGTCAGTCCCTCACGGTGGATTCCACAGGGCCTAGATTTAAAATACAGCCAAGTGGTCGTTTGCTGTCTAGGGGTCACACACGTACTCCAAGTCCCTGGAAAATTCACACCTCTGTTTCACTTTGGGACTTTCAAAACTCACCTTGCAAGCTTCACTACTGAAAATAAAAATTAAAAAAAGAAAAAGAAAAAACACCTGAACCAACCAATCAGAGCTCACCTGCCTTGGCCAGTGAGGGCTCAGCTGTATTGACCAATCAGAATTCAGCTACACCAACCAAGCAGAACTGTCAATTCTTCATTTGCATAAATGGACCTGATTGGGAACCTGGTGAGAAATTTTGCTATAAAACCTGAGCCTTCCCTTTGTTCTCTGGAACACACCTTCATTTTGATGGGAGGCTGCGTCTCCTCAGTTTGTAAACGTCACTGAAATAAAGTCCCTTTCATCCAAATTGTCTTTTCAGACAACTTTTGTTCACGTCCCAAAAGCACCATCTAAAAGCAGCGTAAAAGTGTTTCAGCCTTACATTGTTGCCAAAGACTCCACAATCCATGTCCTTGTCCCTCTGGCCACTGACTAGGAGCTAGAGCCCAAGCCCTTAGTGAGGAAGCTAGGTAACAAGCCCCTCCCAAGCAGTAGCTAATGGGCAACCTTCCTCCCACACTCAGGCAGCTCAGGGCCTCCGGGTTGATCCAGAGAAAGCAACCACCAACCTTTTAGGAATATCTGACGCTTTTATTAGGCAAGAGAATGACAAATCACTGTGTAATCTTTTGACGCTCCAATTGATGCGAAGTTCTTGTTATACAATGAAGCACCAAAATAAAAAAATTAAAAAAAAAAGCCACACGAAATAAAAAGTAGACAAAACCTGAAAGGTAATTTCTTATTGAAAGAGCTAGAAAAGGGGCTTAGGAGGCAAGAGGGATCCAGAGTCTGAGAAATCTTTTATGGCATCTCTCGGACAATAAATTTTTCTGAGAAAAGGCCTCTGATAAGCACATCATACCTCCTTGTCTAAGAGTTGTTGACACTTTAAAGGGAGTTAAGCCTTCGTGCAGTAGAGGCTGTATTATAAGAGCCTCTCTTTGTGGAATGGATTAACTTGATTCACCTGCAATTTGGGCAGCCTCATTCTGCACCCCTCCAAAAAGCAATGGCTGAATGAAAAATCTCCTCCTTCGGCCTGGGGAAATTTGCTTTCCCAGAGCCAATATCCCTGAATGCCCACAAAGGCCCTGGGGTGTTCAACAGTGTGGGGACAGCCCTTCCTATGGGGAAGGGACATCCTGGGAAAAGACACCTGGCCCGAGTCAGGGAGAGAAGAATGCCCCCAACTCTGAAACCAGGTATCCCAAAAGGCTGCCCAGGAGCCAATCTTTGGGAATGAGGCCACTGTCATTGGGGCTTATGGCACCTGGGGTTGGTACTGCTCTTTGTAAACTAACACCTGTAGTAGGCAGAATGAGGGCTTCCCAAAGGTGTCCGTGTCATAATGCCTGGAACCTGTGCCTATGTGACATTATATGGCAAAGAGAAACTAAGATTGCACATGGGATTAAAGTTTCTAACTAACTGACCTTAAAATAGAGATAGCATTCTGGATTGTCTAGGTGTGCCTAATTGTAATCACAAGGGCCCTTAAATGTGGAAGAGGGAGGCAGAACTGTCAGTGCCAGAGTGATGTGACATGAGAAAGACTTGTCCAGCCATTGCTGACTTTGAAGATGCAGGAGAGGGTCATGAGCCAAGTAATCTGTCCAGCCTCTAGATGCTGGAAAGGGCAAGGAAATGGATCCCCTCCTAGAACCTCCAGAAGGAATGCAGCCCTGACAACACCTTTATTTTAGCCCCATAAGCCCCATTTTGCACTGCTGACCTCCAGAACTGTAAGATAATAAATGTATGTTGTTTTCAACCTCCGTGGTCATTCCTTTCTCCACCACCTCCAATGCCCACCTTCCTCCATGATGAACTTGATTTACCTGTAATTCGGACAGATTATGAAAGATGAAGAAGAGTCTCTGCATGAATGAAGTAAAGCCTGTTTAGAGGTTTGCCCCAAAGTTGATTGCATCTGTTTTTAAGATGCTTCCCCCCTCACTTTGGAGTCTTGTTCCCAGGAAGCCATAACCCAGCAGCCACGTTCCACAGGGTCACAGCCTTGCTTTCTGCCTACAGCATTCCCCTGTGTCTTTCATTCCACTGTATCTCCCACCTGTGACACCAAGGGAGAGGAAAGCATGATAGTCGAAGAGAAACATCATACCAATTCTATTTTTCTCTACTGCAGTGTCATAGGCCAAGAGATTTTTCAAAAGGGTCATTAAGAACATTCATTCCTCTCAGTTCTGCAGATGAAGATGTAGGGCCCAGTAGGGCAGGACTTCTTCAGAGCACACAGCCAGTGAGTGACAGAACCGGGTAGAACCCAGGGCTCCTGACTTTCCAGCCAGGGCTTCATATTCGAACTCCCATTCTGGAACTTTCCCAGCCCCACAGCATAGAGAAACTCAGGTCACGGCCACTCAGGAGGTTCACGTTTCCCTTGCCCTGCCCGTTGGCTCTCCTCCCCTCCTTCTGCACCTGCCCACCCTTCCCCAGGGGCTCCCTCCACTGAGGTCTGTCAGGCACTCAGGCCCTCACCCCATAGTTCAGGGACCTGAAGGTGTTTTAGCTTAGACCTAAAGCAGCACAAAAGGCTTAGGACACATCAGCTCCTAGCAAGAAAAAGCTGCTGTAACCACAGGCTTGAGAGACAGGTTAGGTTCCCTGCATCCTGTCTCTTGTCTTCCGCCTCACAAGAAGGTTAACCAGACCCAAGCCTTAAATCCTCAGCCACGCCCATGCCCTGACCACCTTTAGGTCTCTGTTCAATGCTGAGTGAACCCTGTCTCATTTTCGGGGCTGGTAGAGCTCTGTCCATATCCCAGCATCAGCGAATTTCCTTCAAACATCATCACATCATCAGAGGTCTCGGGAGACCCATTCCATCGTCTGCAGATGGAAGATTCCTCATCTGCTTCCTGAGCTTGGGAGCAAAGCTCATTCTTTCTAAAACTAAACCCGCCTTGGGGCCACTGGGGCAGTGATCCTTTAAACCACTCAAATTTGCCTAAGGCCAGAACTCTGATTCCTTCACCTTCATGCCCGCCTTCCCCCTTCCAGCCAGCCCTGCCAGCCTAAGTGGCTGCCCACTCTGTCTAAAAGAACCGAATATTTGACCTTGGCCACTGTTGCCCCATGTTCCTTAAACAAAAATATTCAGGCCCTTTGCCTTGCTCTGCACCAGGGTCCCCCCTTCCTATTAATTATGCAGTAACGAACAACTCTGCTAACCAAAATTGGGGCAGCTACTTGCCTCTAAAAGTCAATAATTAGCCCCACGGGAACAACAAATTCTTGCTGAGCTCCCCCACCGCCCCTTGGCAGCCGCTGGAAGCAGGCCGCCGCTCAAAGCTCAGCTCTTTGGGTCCAATCTGGAATGCATATGTTTCCCTTCAATCATTCACTCCATCAAACCTAAGGCAGGCCTGAGGGGCTGCGGAGGCCCACTACCCTTCTCTGAAAGTCTCCATTAGTATGGGCGTCCTCGTTATAAAGGGATGTTGTATTCACAGGTACCCAATAGCCCCCTGCGCATCTGGGAACACTTTGAGTGATTGCTGGGGAGAGAAGAAATTTGGGTCATAACTAATGATCAACATCCCCTTTTAATCAAATGAAGCCGTCATAATGTGTCTATCCTCCGGGAGAACAAGGCCCTTTCACCTCCGGGAGGTCTGCGGTAGCATTAACCTCTTAGGGTAAGCCATCGGGCTTGGCCTTGCCTGGGTAGGAGGAAGAAGGGGAGCTATCAGATATTCAGCACCTACTGTGTACCAGGCTCTGTGCTCAGCAGCCTCACAAGTGTTCTTGCATTTAATCCTGATCTGCACTAGGTCCACGCTTCTCAGCCTAGGCCTGCAGCAGAAGCACCTGGAAAGCGGGGAGGGCACAGATTGCTGGGCCTCACCCCAGATTTGAGATTCAGTAAAATCTAAATCAGTAGATTCAGTAGACGGAGCCCAAGTATTTGCATGTCTAACAAGTTCCCATGTGATGCCAATCCTGCCAGCACGGGGACCACATCCTGAGAACCAGTGTTGGAGGATAAAAAGACCCCTATTTATTGTCTGCTATGTTCAACACCCTTTACAAATATCATGTGATTTAATCCTCAGGAAAAACCCTATAGCACAAGTGTTGTGGTCCTCATTTTAAAGATGAAACTGAGGATCAAATAAAGCCAGCACTTGCCTAAGACCCCATGATCACACTACTGTGGGGAAGGAGCTATGATTTTAAACACAGATCAGCCTGATGTCAAAGCCCTTGATCCCACCATGCCACAAGAGAGGCAAACTACTGTGAGGTAAGGGTTCAGAGAGGGTGAGCTCATCTCTCCAGGGCACCAGGAAGAATATGATCCTTGCACACCTCACCATGCAGCCTACATCTGGGGCCTTTTGCCCAGATTGGTGCCTGGCCTGTCCTCCCATCCACATGTGGAAGGACACAGCTCTGAGTGCTTTAGGAAACACCTCTGGGTATTCCCTCTGATTCAGCCCCTGTCCAGACACAGGCCTCACCCTCACTGTCTTCTCTCATCCTCATCTTCCAACTCCTTCCAGTGCTGCCCCTCTTCCCCATCCAGTTCAAAAAGTGGCTCCTCCATGATAGTCCCCAAGGACCTGTCTAGCACTCTTACCCCAGAGTTTCTAAGAAATTACTTTTGGTCCTTCAATATGCACAAGCTCAGGACTGCCTGCCCGAAGCACACATTTGCCTCTTGGGGGTGGTTTCTGAAAGAGCTCCTGTCCTCACACTTCTGTGTTCCCAGGTCCCCAGACCAGCCCCTCCAGCATATCAGCAAACCACTTTTGAGCCTTCTCCCCATAATAAGAACTTAGGAAAGCCAGCTGAGAACAAGAAACTATGACTCAGGAGAAGGAAGAGAAGTGAAAATGG
This sequence comes from Homo sapiens, assembly GCF_000001405.40. Lineage (NCBI taxonomy): Eukaryota > Metazoa > Chordata > Mammalia > Primates > Hominidae > Homo > Homo sapiens. Next base: position 19,730,360 of record NC_000002.12, read on the forward strand.
CTCTCACATGGAGCTCCTGCTGGGTGCCAGTCATTGTTCTAAGTGCTTTATGTATAGGAGCTCTTGTAATCCTCTGATGTAGGCAGACCATTATCATCACCATTTACAAGTGAGGAAACTGAGGCACAGAAAGATTAAGTGGCCTGTCCAGTGTGGCACAGCTCATAACTGACAGAGCCAGGCTCTGAATTGAAGCAATCTGGCTCCAGAGCCCATACTTGCAACCATGCTATATTGGCAGAAAGAAAGGAGAATTCATTCTCTGATCCTTGCCCTATAAAGAGTCCTAGCCCAATCCGGGAGAAGTGGTAGTAGTAGTGGTTGTTGCATTGTTGTAGTAGTAGTTGTGGTAGTTTTGTATTAGTAGTCGTTGCCATCATATAGTTGTTGTTATAGCTACAGTGATTGTAGTGGTAGTAGCAATTGTAGATGTTTCAGCAGGAGAGGCATTGCTATAGTTGTAGTTGCGGTGGTAATCATAGCAGTTGTAGTAATCGCTGTGGTGATTACTGTGGTAGTAGTTACAGTAGCTGAAGTAGTAGCTGTAGCTGTGCTAGTAGTTGTTGTTACAGTGGTACTTGGTAGCAGTAGTTGATAATGTAGTTGATGTTGTAGTTGCAGTAGTGGTTGTTGTAGTAGTTGTAGTAATTATGGTAGTTGTTGTAGTACTAGTTGCGGCAGTAGTTGTAGTTACTGTAATCAAAGCTAGCAGCATATCAGCAGCAGCAGTATTGAAATCATTACAATGACAGTACAATGACTGTCTTTTGTGGACTGCCTCCGTGCCTGGTGGGAGACAGAGTAGCATGATGCTTAGCAATGCAAACTCCAGAGCTGGACTGGGCTCAGATCCCAGCTCCTTTACAAAATAAGTTGTATGACCCGAGGCAAATCACTCAGGCCCTCAGCCTCAGCTTTCTTGGGTTTAGGTAGGGCTAAGCATACTGCCTACCTCATGCATTTCTCATGAAGATGAAATGAGGAAATCCATATAAAACATTTACGATAGCACCAGGGACACAGTCAACTCCCCATAAATGTCAGTAAGTGAGAGGGTGAAAGAGGAAAACCCCTTCAACAGAGCAACTGCTTCTGAGGCCTTGCATTCTGGTGAGGGTGTTAGATAAGGGAAGGCATCATGTTCAGTTGTTGCTCAGAGGTCAGAGGACAACACAGGGCAAGGTTCCTCTGTATGAAGGTTCTGGGAAGGCTTCAGGGAGTAGGTAGTATTGGAATGGGACCTTACAGCAGGTTGTGTCACCCTGATGAGGGGCCACCCAGATTATCAAGGCATGGCAAACAAGGGGAATGTCACCAGCGTGGGCCTGCCACTTCTGCAGCTTGTCCACAGAGCCACCCCACCCACCATCCCTTCTCCCCACTGTCTGCGCCTAGTGCCACAGTCCAGCCACCTCCCCAGGTGCTGCAATGGCCCTGGGCCCTCCTCACCACTTTCATTCTCCCTTATCTCTGAGAATGCTCCTCCCTAGCTCCTTCATTTGCAAAATAACTAAAAGTCCCTCTTGAAATTCCCTAGTGATCATTGATGGTTTTGTCAGGTCATAGAGGAGAGGCTGTTAGATCAGCTGGTTAAGGGGTTTCCAGTTAAGCTCACCATTAACATGTTTCCTGAGCCCCCAGGGATAGAGCACGCTTTGGAGCAAACCTCTTCCCTACTCTCAGTTCTGTGGAGACTCTGAGGTCCCTTACTGCCATCCAGAAAAGAGAGGTACAATAATTCAATCAGCCCTATTGATGAATCGCCTAAGTGCCACTGGCTTAGCCTTCATGGGCATGGCTCTGATGTGACAGTCCCCTGGGCACTTCTTTTAAAGCCCATCAACTTCCCTTTCACCTGATTGTTCATCTCAGTGTCTCTTGATCTCGTCCTATGCAAGGCACTATGAGTAATAGGAGATGAGTCCCCATTCTCCAAGAGCTTGAGTCCTATGGACAGAGCTGTGGCAAATCCTCCAATAAGTATAACTATTTGAATGTAGGAAGTGTCATAAGGTGGGAAAGAAACTAACATTCTCAGTGCACTTGCCAAATGCCAGATGTTAGGCTGAGAGTTCTCACCTAATTTATCTCATGACCCTGCATATCAAACTTGTGAGGTAAGTATGTATTCATATATCGCCATTGTCTGAGGAAAGTGAAAATCAGAGGAGTTAAGCAAGTTGCCTGAAGTCACACAGCATACGACAGCTGAGCTTTAAACCCAGGTCTGTGTGACTTTTGCTAATAAACTGGTTGCCTCTCCATAATGTGCATGTAAAATTGAGAAGGAGAAAGGAGAAGCACCCAGGGCTGCAATGAGCAGAGAAAGCTTTTTAAAGGAGCTGAGACTTGTTCTGGATGGACGAGGTGAACTGAATGATGATGGGTGGAGACCGGGGGTGACAGAGGAGAAGTGCCAGGAAATGGGGAGAACAGAAACAGAGACAAGGGACTGAGAAGCACTGGACATCTAACAGTGGCCATGTGAAGCCCGCTGGGGTGGAAGGAGGCTTCCCACCTGGTAGATAGGGTTGAAAGGGCTCCGGGGGGCCTGATCGGGAGGGTCTGACCAATTTGGCTAATTGTACAGTACTTTCTTCTGGATGCAGTAGGGAGCCACTGAAGTCTTGTAACCAGAAGAACAATGTGATGGAAATAGCCCCTTGGGAAAATCACCTTGGCTGGGCTTTGTCGGGTTGGTGAGCAAAGGCTAGGGGAAGAAATGCCACTTCAAAGAGACTGTTAGAATTATCCCATAGTAACAGCAGGTTTTTAAAACTTTTTTCAAGGTTATGAACTGACAGCGTTTTCAATGTTTTTTTTTTAAGTCTAAACTATATTTTTTTAAGTATGATTTTTCCAAATGTCAGGAAAAACAATCCATGTTAACCTCTAACTGTGAAACAATTATAGAAGCAGCAAAGCATCTTACTCTTGCCCAAACTGCAATAAAATATAGTTCTTGGTTCAAGAAGTCAGGACAAGGAGTGACTTCTGAACCAGCCTTCCACTTAGCAATGCAGTTTTCTGCTCAAGAAATTCATAGTCCTCCTTTACTGGATCTATTTTAATAGCATAATGAGGGCTGTGCAACCCAGCCCTCCGACATTCCCTGAGAGTGCACCCCTAAGTGTCTCAAGATGTCTGAGGAACATCAAAGAAAAGGAGAATTATTCTTTGAATATACCATAGGATACAAATCCTGATATCCCACTGCTGGAAACAAAAACCCAAGACAGCTCCCGCAGTGCCAGTAAAAAATATGGACTCAGAAGATTAACTGGCTCCAATGCTACAGCGCTTTAGCCAACCGTAACCTGGCATTTTACATTAAAGGAAGAAAAAGATGCCTTTATTAATGCTGCTTGCCAAATTTCCCATGAGGCCTGAGGAAGGACTCACTTTGGCCTTCCTCTTCTCAGAGCTTCTTGCTAAAAACTGCTCTCTCCTGTTTAAAGTAAGGCCAACCTGAGGTGTCTGAAGAAGGCTCCCCCTGGAAAATGAAAAGGCTACCTTTGGCCAAACCATTTAACTCCTTGTTACTTCCATGCTGCTTACCGGGCTAAGCACAATGGGCTGGGCCTCAGAACTTCCCAGAGAGCTTCCCTGCCCATGAGTTCATCCTGCCCCCATGCTGTCCCCACAGGGCAGAGGGAAGAAAAGATATGACAGAGATTATTTTACAGCTGAAGCATCTGAGTCATGGAATCACTGCTGTCGAGATGTTTATAGAAACATCAAGAAGAATAATATCCTTTGGCATGAGCTTGAGGGAGGCCATGCATCTCTGGCTTCAGCTGGAAGATAGCTCCAACCATCCCGTTTTTAGAGATGGATACCAGAGTCAGAGTAAAGCTGAACACTCTGCCATTCCTACTGCTGCTGGCAAAGCTCTGTTGAGGTCCAGGACTTCCACTCACTCCCATGGGACTCCCATGCTGAGTCCCTCAGCCTTGGATGACACAATTGGCCTCACCCAGTCAGCAAATCTTTCTGAATAGCTACCATGCACCAACTTTCCAAGAACACGTGTTGTGGGCAAACAGATGTTCCCAAGTCAAAAAGATGAGTAAGTTTATTTAAAAGAAAATATACTTTTTAAAAAGTAAGTGGACCAAATAACACAGAGTTACCTTTAATGTGAACCCCATTTTCTAGACGCCCAAATTCTGAAGTGCTACCTTGGGACCCCAAGCCTTCCCACCTACTATGACACATATACACACCTCAACCCTGTCCCTTTCAGTGGGACACAGTGATGGCCCAGCTCTTACACTGTGGATGCCACTGGAAGTGAAGCAGGAAGGCCCAGGGCACCCAAGGTCAATAGTGTCCTTGAACCTCACAGCCTCCTGCTGGCACCCTCTTCTGAGTGAATCCTCTCAACCCCGCTCCTTTCCCCGTTCTTTCTCCCCTTGCATTCCTATGGCATTCAACTTTCCCTCTGGAGGTAAGCATGGAGCTTCACTCTATCCCATCTCCCTTACTGTCTGCATCATATCCAGTTGAACTCTTTACTGGGCCTGCTCTGAGCTCAAGGGCAGGGACTGCCTTGTCCATCTTTACATCCTAATGAGAGGAAGACACAAGGAGATGCTCCATAAAGGAAGGAAGGAAGGAACGAAGGAAGGAAGGAAGGAAGGAAGGAAGGAAGGAAGGAAGGAAGGAAGGAAAGAAGGAAGGAAGGGAGGAATGATGGATGGATGGATAGATGGATGGATGGATGGATGGATGGATGGATGTGTGTTTACATGGATGAAGCAATTGATGGGCAGATGAATGAATGTATGGCTGAATTCCCATAGTAACACTTAGGCCCTTATGGCCAGAAAGTTGACTCCCCTGGATTCTATTCAGAGGTGTATGTCCTGTCTGAATCAAAAGGCCATCCCCAGAATGTCACAAATACCCCTTAACTTTGCCATGGTAGCAGCTTAGGGAGGGGAACATCTAGTGCTACCTCTGTGAAAACAGCCCAGAACAGGTCCAGCTGTGCTCTCAAGCAAGTGCAGTCTTTCTGTTTGGGAGTTGAGTCTCCTCCAGAATCATCTTCCAGGCCCTCTCCCACCCACTTTGCATCAGGATCCTAGACTCAGGTCAGTGCTCACCACAACTGTGGACATCAAAACAGGCCCACCCCCTACAACCCCTTCCTCTCCCCCAATCCTCCAAGAATAAAGGAATCTGATTTTGGAGGGAGCATGTCTTTTCCCAAGTCTGAGCTGGAAATTTTCCTGTAAAAGTGACCAGTAAAAATAGAGCTGCCCTCAAGAGTAACCACTAGACCCCAATGATGGATACCGACATGGAAGATACTGCTCGTGTGGGGAACACCAAACCTATTCCTCACTCTGGCTCAACCTGCCAAGTATCAGGGCAGGGAAAGAGTGGACATTTTCACTCACTAAAGGCATCTCCTGGAACTTCCCCAAATCACTGGAGGGGCACCTAACAATGCCAAAGACACAGTTCCCAATCTGATCATCTCCAAATCCAAGAGTAGTGTCATGAGTCTCTTACAGACCTCCCAGTCCACATGCCCATTGTACAGACAGGGAAGCCAAGACCAGGGAGTGCCAAGTCTCCTGCTTCTCAGCCCATGCTCTCTTTTCCCCTGCCAGCCCGCTGAACCTACATGTGGCTTTCCATGTGGGAATCACCAATGGTCAGGGGCTGGGGCTAGGAGCGTGGAGAGTCTCCAGAAGGCTACCATTACCAAGCATGGGCTTCCTGCTGAGGCCACTGAGTGGAGGAAATAATAATGGAGATTGAAAGGCGTTCTGCATTTGACCTTCTGCAACCCTGCCGTTTTTCAGTAGAACCCGATAGGGATCAGTCACATCTGCTCTCAATAGCAAATGTAAAAAATGACCTGCAGTTTTAAGGTCTGAAAAACATAAACTTGTGTTAAAAGACTGACAAAAAAAATTCATGCACTCAATAGCATGATGTCATTCAACTGCACACACATTGCAATAACAATCGTCCATCAGAGCCCATGCCCTAGACCTGAGCTCTCCCCTCCTGGGAATCATAAGCGGCTCTGGTCGCCCGGCATGTCAGCCATGCAGCTGGTCACATAGTGCAGGGAGCCTGCCCGCCTGTGTAATCAGGGCTGGGCTGCTAGGCTGGACTAGGCCCAGAGCTATACTGAGTATCAACTTACCTCACTCTCCACCTCAGACACTCGGGTGAGCTGCAGGAAGGTTGATGGGAAGCACATTCTGGGAAGCCCAGAACAAACTCAGGGATCTGGGGAGCAGCCTGGAGCTGGCCAGAGGTCAACAGGCCTTTAGAAGTTAAGCAACTCCTCATTAGCAACGTGGGTGAGGTCCTCCGGGCCATTACTCTGCTGTGTGTGGACGCCAAGCAGAATGCTCTTCAGGCTAACCCAATATGCTGACTGCTCCGTGGAAGTCCAGGAATGCCACCTCTATCCCCATGCACCTCTGCCTTCCCTCACCTGCACCCCTTCACTCTATCATCTGGGCTGCATCAGGGGCCCTGGCTGTGATGGAAACTCAGGAAGGGAAGCTTAGGGGATCCCAGATAGCTCATTAGATTAGCTCCAGTGATCTCCATCCTGTAACATCCCACACTTGTCATCAGCAAGCAATGACCCCAGAAGAAGTCGACCTCTCAGCCCTCAGGAGCTCACAGCCTAGATAGGGAAATAAGACTCACTCAAAGCACGGGTGTCTGGGGCTCAAGTGCCATAGAAACCAGAAGAGGCAGTGTGGAGCGCTGCAAGTGGAGAGAAAATTTTCGAATTTCAGACCCTAACAACCCTATTATTGGATTTATTTTTTATTTTTATTTTTTTGTTCCATCGCCCATGCTGGAGTGCAATGGCGTGATCTCACTGCAACCTCTGCCTTCCAGGTTCAAGCAATTCTCGTGCCTCAGCCTCCTGAGTAGCTGGGATTACAGGCGTGTGCCACCATGCCTAATTTTTGTATATTTAGTTAAGTAGAGACGGGGTTTCACCATGTTGGCCAGGCTGGTCTCGGGTTCCTGACCTCAGGTAATCCACCCCCATCGACCTCCCAAAGTGCTGGGATTACAGGCATGAGCCACCGCGCCCAGCCTGGAGTAATTTATTAAGCTGAACAATGCTTTATTCTTTCCTCAATTCTAAGTCATAACCCATGGTGGGCAATGGCCATATACACTCATTTGATTTCTTATCAAGATGGAGACAAAGAGAACCAGCATTCTTTAAGCACCTACTATGCGTCACATACCAGGTTGGGCACCTTCACATCCATGTCCTGCTTCAGTGTTCCTGCCTAGGCAGTCAGACAGTGAGGTGAAACATGGAAGTCTTGGCAGGTTCACGAGGCAGCTTGTAGTAGGTACCTTTGTTTCTGCTCCACCTGCAAAACTCCCTTATGCTTCCCAAGGTGAGCAGAGCTCAGCCAGTCCCTAATAGACAGCAGAGCAAGTTCTGTGCTACCTACTATTCCACCCAGTAGAGTTTGTCTGGTAACACAAATAATCTCTTAGCCTCAAAGATTCCCTATTAAAATGGATCTTCAGCAGCAGGGTGGTTTATTTGCTGTGGAGTACAGTCCAAGCTGTTGGTTCATTAAATATGAGGATACTAAGGTGACTAAAACATGGCCCCTATCTTCAAATGGCTCATTAAGTTATTAGGAGAAAAACCTGCAAACAAACAAGAGTCCCATTGTGCAGATGCTAAGAGAGACATTTGTGCAGAGAATTTTAGGGATACAAAGGAGAGGGTGACTAGTTCTACCTGGAGGCAGCAGAAACTTTTATGGTGGCCCTTGAATTGTCTTTAAGCTCCCTTGGGTGCTAAATGCCTGTGGGAGTCAGGGCTGAATAAGGCATGGTCCTTGTGCCCAGGCTCCACTCTCACTGGAGAGACAATGCTAACTCATCCCAGAAAAGTAAGAGGTCAGCTGGGGAAAACCAACGGAAGATACTGCTGGATGCCAAAGTAGGGAGACAGCAAAAGACTGACACTAGTAAGGTGACAGTATTATTGCTGAAAAGGTAGGAGAAACTTTCTAGAAGTGACGTGGGTTAGGCCTCCGTGAGGTTTGAATGATAAGAACTGAGAAGGCAAGGCACACAAAGAAAGACTAAATTGAACATCGACACGGGAACAGCACGAACTGGCTTCCGTAGGGCCAGTCATGGAACCATAGTATAGGCCCCAGGTCTGTTCTCAGCTTCCAGGCTCAGGTTGCCTGGCAAAGCTCAGGGTTTGCCCTCCTGTCCTGAGCCCTCCTCAGTGGCAAGCAGCCTTCAGTGATAAACTGGAGCTGAGCTCTGCCCATGCTTCAAGGGGAGCTCAGGGGCCGTGGAGGCTTCCCCAAATTTGGATTAAAAAAACAGCTATTCACGGCCTCCTCCACAGGATACATAGCTTCCCTCTAAGTCAGCAGGAACCCATCACTAAGGCTATGAGAAAATAAACAAAGGGAATCCGATTTCAAGGGACACTCAGCCTCCAAAAAGAAGAACAGCACGATCAGACGGATCCTTCCCCTCCGGGGCAAGCTAGTTGTGGGGAATCTCACAGCTATGGTTCCAGCAGAATTAGGAGCAGTTGCTGCCAATAATGGAGCAATAGTATCATGCTTGGGGTTCCCTGGGGACACTCCAGCACGGGGAGCGAAGGCGTGTGTCACTGGAAACCGAAAAGAGAAGCCAGAGGACTCCAGCCTTGCCGTGACCCAAGGGCTCGAGCCAACAAACATGTCTCTCCTGAACCTGGGGCCCCCCTCTATAGATCTCATCAGAGTCAACTGGTACCTGAATACCAACTGCCCTGCTTGTGAAATGTCTGTGCTATACATGGACAAGCAAGCTTCCCTTTACTATTTTTTGGTGGAGTCTACACTGTAGGCAAGAACCCCCAGTGTTCTTAAGCCTCAAAGGGGCTATTTTGCTACAAGGTTGTACAGCATCTGCGTTGGTGACAAAGCACAGACTTAGGGCTGTTTTGGAGGCTGGATGGGTTCTTAAAAAGAAAACAAGAAAAACACAAAACCCATCAAAGCCACTAGAAGAGGAGGAGTTGCTGAACCTAAGAAGAGTGTTTGGCAGAGCTACCAGCTGGCCTGGGAATGACGTGTTGGCCTCAGAGTTTCCCTGTTGAGGCAGAACTTGAACAGCATGTAGAGTATGGTTCAAGCTGTCAGTTCATTAAATGTGGGGATGCCATGGTCACTAAAACACAGCCTCTGTCCTTAAATGGCTCATGAGTTATTAGAAGGAGAAAAGAAAGAAGCTCAGATGGCTTAACAAGTTCAAATCTAGTAGCAAGGCTGATACCCTGTTAACCTCTCTAATCCACAGAGGACTCACAAATGGTAACAACATCAAAGAGCAACAAGGGAACTCAGACATGCAGAGGGATGAAAGGCTCCCCGGCTCTAAGAGAGTGGGACGTTGTAAATGGTGAGAGCCCAGTTCTCACAACCAGGGAACGTGAGTTGTGCCCCTAGCTCTGCCAATGACCTACTGTAGAACATGGGGAGAAGTCCCTTCCCTTCTATGGTCCCGATTTCTATGTCTGTGTAATGATAGGCTTGGCTTGGATGATTACTGAGGGCCTGCTCAGTGCCAATCTATGAGTCTGCTGCTTAGGCCAGAACAGTGTCAACAAATCTGCTAGCAGATCGGAAGAACTGTCCTATGCCCAGCCCTGTCTAACTCATGCCATCAAGTTCCATGAAAGTTTGTGTCTGTAAGTTACTCCTAAGCCTAGGGATTTCTGGTGACATAGATATAAACTAGAGTTAGACTTAGAAGTAGATTTAGATACAGATGAGATATAGACACAGACTGGAGATATAGGTATATGTGTATAGATCTACATATATAGATACATACGTACGTGTGTGTGTGTGTGTGTGTGTGTATGTGTGTGATCTCCCCACTAAGCACCTTTCCTTTCGTGAGGGACACAGACATGGAGCCACTGATTTTATTTGAGTTCATGTCCTACATTTAGTGCACTAAAGCCCTCCCCATTCCTCAAAGCCCATCTCAAGAACCTCCTCCTCCAAGGAGCCTTCCTTGATCTCAAAGAGATGATCACTCCCGTTTAAATTACTGAAAGTTACGTTTTGGGCCATACACGACCGAATTATAACAACTACTTAATTAATTATTGCATAGGAAAGCACTCCCACAAGGCAGATAAATTGTTTTTCAATTTACACAGAGGTTGCCAAGGACACCTGGGCTTCAGACCGCCCTCGTGGAAATGCAGGTGGATCAGCCTGCTTCTCGTAGCAGAAGAGGCACTCAGCAAATGCTTGTCTATAGGGTTTGCCCAACAAAAACTGAACTTTGGCCCACACCTCATACCATACACAAAAAATAACTCAACAATTTTTTTACAAACCTAAATGAAAAAGCTAAAACCCTCAAGAAAATATAGGATAATATCTTTAGGACTGGAGAGTAGGCAAAGATTTCTTATGCAGAGCAGAAAAAGTGGTTACCACAGAAAAAAACTGATAAACTACAGCCTGGGGAATATGGTGAAACCCCATCTCTACAAAAAATACCAAAAAAAAAATAGCCATGGTGGTATGTGCCTGTGGTCCCAGCTACTCAGGAGGCTGAGGTGGGAGGATCACCTGAGCCTGGGGAGGCAGAGGCTGCAATTAACTACTGCACTGATCATGCCACTGCACTCCAGCCTGGGCAACATAAGTGAGACCCCATCTCAAAAAGAAAAAATTGATAAACTGGACTTCTGCTCACTAAAAGGCACATAAAAATGAAAAAAAATAAGCCACAAGAAAATATTTACAATACATATATCCAGTTAAGAATTAGAATCCAAATTATATTTTTTAATTCCCATAAATCAATTTTTAAAAGAGCCTAAAAATGAAAAAAGGCTTAGATGAACACTTTACAAAAAAGAAATCCCAATGGCCAATAAACATATAAAAAGATATTTGACATCATTAGTAATCAGGTAAATACAAATTAGAACCATAACGAGTTACAACTACACACCCACTATAATGGTTCACATTGAGAGGACTATCAATATCAAATGTTGGAAAGGAACTTCCATACTTGGCTGGTAGAAGTATAAGATGGTACAACTACTTTGGAAAGTTGTATGGCAACTTCTTATAAAGTAAAACATACACTTACTTCACGATCCAGAAATTTCACTCCTACGTAATTACCCAAAAGAAATAAAAACATGTGTCCACAAAAGACTTATATATTAATCCTCCCAGCATCATTATTCATAAAAGCTCCAAATTTGAAATACCCCCAAAGTTCTTCAAAGGGAAAATGGATAAAGAAAGCAAGGGTAAGACCCATATAATGATATAGCAGGTAACAATAAAAAGGAATGATGACAGATACACAAAAACAACATGATAAATCCCAAAAATATTATGCTCAGCAAAAGGAACCAAGGAGAAAAAAGAGTTCATATTGTTTGATCCAACTTTTTTTTTACAAATTCAAGACCAGGCAAAATGAATCTATGAGGATGGTATTCAAAATAGTGGAGTTTTTTTTTTCTGTAGAGAAAGAGAAATTAGAGGAAAATGACATGGGGAATTTTCTCAAGTAATGAAAATGCTTTCTATCTTAATTGGACTATTGGTTACATTGGGATATACAGTTGGTAAAGCTCATTGAATGTGCATTAAGTTCTGTGCATTTTATAGTATGTAATTATACTTCAATTAAATGTAAAGGAATAATTAAAAATAAAATAATCCACTCAAGTATTATTTATAAATGCCTTCTCTGTACCAAACCTTGGGCTAAGGGCTGGGATGTGGCCCTGAATAAGATGCATCCCCTATCTCAAGAAGAATGAATGGGAAAGCACCCCTGTGATATTTCAGCATCCTAGTGACTGAGGCTTTGTGCACACACACACACACACACACACACACACACACACACACACATATCAGAAGCAGTGGAGGCTTCTCCCTTGCTACTCTGGGTCTCTGATGTATGGCAATGCATAAACATTTGGGTCAAAAGGAACCCCCTCCCCGCCCCCCCCCCAACACACACACACACAGAACTACTAACTGCCCAAAGTATCCTGAACAAAGAAGCTTCTAGAATTAGTCTTCAAGGTCAGAAGCAACCAAACTCTAGCATCATGCCCAGAGTCCTGAAGCAAGACCCCTGCCTTTCTTCCCAGGGAAGGTACAAGCTCTTCTCCTTGGGGTTTGAGCCTTGCCTGCAGTGCTAGAGAGGCCACGGGAAGAGGGAAGGGAGGGCCCTTGACCTGCTGGCCCCCAGCTCCCCACCTACCCCTCCAGGGAGAGGAGAAATCCAAACAAAAGCCCATTCTCACAGGCAGCCTTTCCAAGAAAAACCAAGTTCTAGAGATGCCGGGTCTGGTGTGAATAAGGGAAAAATGCAAAAATCCAAAAGGCAAGGTCCAAGAAACATTTCTCCCACTGAGTGTGCTATGAAAAGAAAGGGCACAAAGAGGTGGATGGGAAGGAACTCCAGGGTACCCACAGCCAGTATGGGGGTTGACCTCCAGCCACCATTAATTTTCCTGAACAGAATCTGATTTTCAGTGACCCAGGAAGTGCCCCATGACTTTCAAAATGTTAAATCCTACAAGAAGGAACCTCTTATTTCTGAGCTTTGATTACTCATTTGTCAAAAGAGAATAACAACCCCCACCCTACCCACTTCACAAGAGTGAGGTGGGGCCCCATAAGGAGGAAACAAGCTCTGAGACACCATAGGCCTTGCCTTGGCCAATGTGGAGCGTGTCTCACTGCCTGTTAGGATATTTGTATTTTATAAAGAGAGGAGCATGGGTTAGAATTCTGGCTTCACACACGCTGTGTGAATTTGGAAAAATAACTATTTCTCTGAGCCAACTTCCTCATCTGTAGAATGAGAAAGTTGATAGCTCTCTTGAAGTTTGAGCAAAGATTAGAAAAATGTCTATACAGCCTTTAGGAGAATATCTAGCATATAGAGAGCATTCAGTAAATGGGAGTTGTTATAATTCCTAACCATGAAAAAGAGATTCTACACACTCCTGCCTTTAGCCTTTAGAAAAGGGAAGTAGTAGAGCTCTTGGGTTGGCCAAATAAAAACCACACACACGGGCACATACTTTTCTGAAAGAATTTATTAGGCATCCTGGGAGCATTAAGAGCTGCTACTATACACCGAGCCCTCTTCTAGGGTGGGCACGGTGCTCAGCACTCTGGCTTGTGTTATGGCATTCACAGACACTGCAGGAGGTAGAGAGGATCCCATCTCCATTCTACAGAGCAGAGCGCTGTGACTCAGTGAGGTTACAGACATTGCTTGACTTCATACAACCAGAGAGCGGCAGAGGTAGCACACACATGTGGGACTGCCGGAGTCCAAAGCCCAGGCCCTCAGGGCTGCGGTGTGCCAACATTCTCACCATATGCAAGCTGAAAAGCTCAGAAATCCCAGCCAATCACAGGGGACATTGCACTCTCAGAAGTGGACAGAGTCTGCAGCCTGGTGACTCTTGCGTAGCAACTGCAACCACCACCTTCTCCACCAACATCCAGGAGTAATGTGTCTTTCATTCCCACCTCTCTGTCTATAGATGTCAGCAAGGTCACAGCCAGCCAAGGCAACCAAGGCCTATCTGCATATTGTCAGATAGACCAGCAGGGACCTTAGAATACTCTTGGGTGACTTGTTGAGGCTTGGAGGAAATGTTGGTGGGGAGGGCTGGTGAGATGGGGCAGTGGAGGCAGAGGGGAAGGAGGAGCACTGCAGAGAGACCTGAGGAGCCCCAGAGCTGTCTTCAGAATTGCTGCCTGGAATGGCATCCAAGGGCACAGGCTGGTACAACTCTGTCTCCAGCATCAAGATAAGGATGGGAAAGGGGAGGAAAGAGAAGAGCAAGTAGTGAGTTGTCAATCAAAAGGCATGAACGCATCCTTACCTTGAAAACTGAGGCCATTAAGAAACAGACCACAGAATCCAAAAATTTCTCTACTCTGCATCCATCTCAACTGCGCTTTCCAGGACACACACTGCTGAGAAGCCACAGCTGGTGTCTGGGCCACCCAGTCTTTCCATTTAATAATTCAGCAAACACTGGCTGAGCACCTACTGTGTGCAAGATACTGAGGCAGGTGCAGGGGGAGACTCCCAAGGGCAGAACCCAATTCTCAACACAAGGAGGTTATTATCCAGGAAAGGAGAGTCACAGATACAGGTGACTGTCCCACAGGGGGCTAACGGCTTCAGCAGGTACTGTGGGAGCACAGAGCTGGGGCCCAGGTCAGCCTGGGGAAAACAGGGAGGGCCCCAGGTTGGGGGCGGGGCGGCCTTCACTGAGTCCTGAGGGTCAGGAAGGAACATGTCTCATAGATGGGAGGGAGTGTCTCCAGGCAGAGGAAACAGTGAGAATCCCAACAGTAGGCAAAAGAGGAGTGCTCAGTTCAGGGAACTTGGGGGAGTCCAGTAGGTTGGCGCACAGAAAGGGAAGGGCGAGCCAGGAGATGTGAGACCAGAGACAGGGGTAGGGCCACAGGTGGACTACAGAGGTCAACGTTTCTTCTAAATCTGAGGGCATGGAGGTAGCAGCATGGCCTGCTCTGAGTCATAAGTTAGAGCCACCCTGTCCCATGTGATACCCATTAGGCATATGTGACTATTTAAATACTTAAAATTCAATAAAACTGAAATGCAGCTCCACAGTTGTACTAGCCATATCTCAAGTGCCCAATAGCCACATGTGGCTGGTAGCTGTCATATTGGATGGTGGAAGTGTGGAACATTTCCGTCATCCCAGAAAGTTCTACTGAACAGCGCTGCTCTGGAACAGCTCTTCCACCTCCATGGAAAAGAAACAGAGTTGGAGTCAAGGAGGCTGGTACAGAGGAGAAAATGCTCCTAGACTGGGACCGATGTAGAGAACTGAGTGGAATCAGATAGGAGAGATACATAAGGGTAGAAGAAACAAGACTCAGTTACCAATTGGCTGGGGTGCCAGGGTGGGCAAAGAAGCCGGGGAAGACAAAAACAAAGACCTGTTTTCTGGCATGGTTAGCTGGGAGTGAGGGGCAGTCACTCACAGTGGGAGAAAAGAAAAGGGAAGAAAGAGTGAGTCTAGGAGAGAAGGGTGTTCAGTGTGGGTGTGCTCAGCATGGGGTGCCTGCAGAACACCCACAGGCTGATGTTGTGTGGGTGCAGCTCAGCCTGTAAGCTCTGGGATGGCCAGTGGCTGGGGGCTGTGAGGCTGAGCTGAGGGACTCTCAGGAGTGGTGTGAATGCAGGGGCTAGCACCACCATTAGTGTGCTGTTTAGTATACCCTGCCGCTTGTGCTCCGTGGCGACCAGGGGTGGCTGCGCTGCCAGATGGAGACACAGGTGTGGTGTTTGGGAAGTGGGGCTGGGTTCTTGGGGCTGCGGGTTCCAAACTGCGAAACTGCAAACTACAGACTTTATGCTGCGTGTGAAAGACTAAGGGGCAGGGAGAAAGGGGCTGCAGAATGGCAAAATTGTCTCGTGAGGCCAAGGGATTGTGGCTTTGGCCTGTTATTCTGAGAGTTCAGACTGTAACCCAAGGCCGGAAGACGGCTGAAAGTCACGCCAGAGCCTCCTGTCTTCCCAGGGTGGAAACTGTGTTTCGAGTTGCCTGGCTAAATCCCCAAGAGGTGCTCTCTCGGGAAGCAGCTGGGAGAGGAGGACAGAGGGATGTGCAGACAGCAAGCAGGCAGCGCTGGGCACCGCTCAGGGTATAGAAGCCACCAAGCCCTAGACCCCGGCAACCTTGCAGGTGGCTCAGGAAGAAGGCTGGGCTTTGTCCCCACCTCGCAGCTCCCAGCACACTGGAGGGTGGCGGCACACAAGCGTGTTGTTCTCCAAAGCCACTGGGGCACTTCCTGTCAGTTCACATAATTGAGTATTACAGTATTTAAATTGCAAATTGACGATTATTTTTACAGGTGTCATTTTAAATATAACACGAAATTTCTTGACATGACATCAGCCCTACCACACAAACAGCTGCACCAGGCCGCCTGCATGTGTGGGGCACATGGCTGGGCCAGTCATGTTACGACGTACACCACAGAAGTGCAGTGGGAGAGCATGTGTGTGTGTGTGTGTGTGTGTGTGTGTGTGTGTTACTGACATGGTGTGACAGTCAGTGTATAGATGTGTGTGGTTGGGAATGTGTATGTGTGGACCCATGTTTGTGTGTGATGGTGAACATGTATGTCTGTACAGATCCATGTGAATGAAGGTGGGAGGCATGGGGTATGTGGAGACATTGGGCCTAGTGTGCCGGAAACTGTGTGTCAGAGCACCCCGCTGGAGGCCCCAGCCCCACAGGAGATCATCGCTAGACAGGCGGAACCTGGCCTGTCTCTGTCTCTAGAGCTGACCATGAGGTTGCTGCAGGAAGTAGACAAGCTCTATTCTTAAGGTAGAGGGGCTGCCAGGGTGGCCCAAGGTGGTGCTGCAGTGCCCTCCAGTGGACAGTGCCCCCGCCCCAACCCCCAGCCAGACCCACAAGTGGATTGAGAGCATGCAGCGTGTGCCTGACCCCGGGCCCACGTCCTCATCACTCACCCACCTGAGTGGTACCGAAGAGCCTGCCCTGAGGCTCCCCCAGCTCACAAAGGCAAAGACTTAGGGGAGCTTGGGTCAGGGCTGAAATTCACCACCCAGGGCCCTCCAGCCTTTACCCCAGCTGGGCCAGGCATGCCATGGCAATGCCCCCACCTCCAAGGTTGGCCACGGGTGAGCCTCTTCCAGGAAGTTTCCCGAGTCCCCAGGCGAGAGGAACTCCCTTCCCTCGCAGCCCTTCCTCAGGGTACAACTGGGTCTCCAAGGGGCTACAGTGCCCCTTGAGTCCCTCTAGAAGCCTCAGAAAACAAGGCCTGGGCCTGGCATGGCACCTGCTACCTGCACTGAGCAGAACACAGAGCAAGACAAAGAGAAGACGCTCTACAAAACAGCAAGTGTTCATTTACTGTTTCATGTAACTAACTGTGAGGTTTTTAGAGACAGAGACAGAGACAGAGAAGGGAGAAGGGGCAAACGACGCAGGCTCTGACCTTCACCTAGCCCTGTACTTAAGCAGTACTTAAGCAGGGAGTGTGAGCACTGTACTTAAGCAGGGAGTGGGTGACTCAAATGTAGCAACTGTGCTAGGCAGCTATTTTTAGAGTGGAAAAAGGGATATCTCAGGGAGAGACTTAAACCTAACAAAAGAAGAATTTTTCTGGGCTTCCACTCTAGCAAAATGTTATTCGTGGCACCAACAAGCACCCACCAGGCTGTCTGGCCACAGATGAAGAAGCAGCACAAAGCTGCATGGGCACTGGCCTGGCCTCAGCCTGGGCTCCCGAGGCCAGCAGTCACTGCCACTGGCCAACGCCCTGAGGGATGGGGCATTGCAGAGGAAAGCAGGGGCATCCAACCACTGGGAGCCAGAGGGTTCTAGGAAGGCCAACCATGGCCCACCTTTGCCTTCAGAATCGCAGCCTACATTTGTATCAGCAATGAGCTCCGGGCTCTCTGGTATCACCCCCAGGGGTTTAACAGGCCAGGTCAGGCCTGCAAAGATCTACGACTGCCTGGAGCTGACCACCTTAACAACCTGCTCTCCAAAGGCCAGCCCACCCAGAGGCCCAGGCTTCTCACTGCCCTGCCCCCCTTCTTCCAGGCTTCACGGCATTGCCCTGCTGTGACACCAACATCTCCAGCTCACTTTAGAGAAGAGAGGGAATCGAAAACATATGAGCCATGTGGAAGGGGCAAGGAGCCCACTGTTTTTGCAATGTGCCAAATCCACACGACAGAGGGCGCAAGCCAGAGGGCTCCAAAGAGGACTTCCTGTAGGCTGCGACCAAAATGGGTGTGGCTGCTCAGCCCTGAGCCAGGTGACCTGCCTCTCCCAGGCAGGCCTGAGAGGTCTCTTTCCAGGTGCCGGGCCTGTCCACCTCGGTCCCCAGCAGCTCAGGGCTAGGTACTCCCATAGCACACTTCTCCCTCCTGTCTTCTTGCCCTCTCCCATGTCAGAGCCAGGGAAGAGAGGTCCAGGTGAGAGAGAGGGAGACACAGAGCTTCTCACCATCAAGAATGAGCATGAAGAAAGACTTGCCCAAAACGTGGAACAACTTGGTGGCCACTGCCTGCCCTGACTCCCGGTCTACCACTGTTTTCCAGGCAGCCTCTGCCCAGTCTATGACCTTTTCCTCTGCCATTTTTGGCTGACATCTTTTCTGCTTCTCTACATTGCTGTCCTTTGTCTCCATCATTTACCAAGCCTAGGAAGTGCAAGAGAATCTTTCATGCTGCAAACACATTGCAGATGTTACAAATCGAGGTCCCAGCCTTAACTGTAGGCCCTAAACAAAGCTCTGATTCTTCTCCAGCATCTTCTCAACATGCATCTCACTTCTCTGAGGAGCTTGCAAACAGCTACAAATGTGGCTGGCAACCTTATGCCAGTGGTGGCGGCTTTAGGAAAGGAGGTAGCGTCACAGCGGACAGCAGGGTACATTCACAATCCAAGAAGACGGAAATCAAAATCAGTATCATTATCGTCATTGGCGGCGGCAGCATCTCTAATGGATATGAAATGCTGGCAATGTCAAGCCCCGTACTAAGTACTTTACACAGATTACTTCATCGAACTTTTACAACAAACCTTGCCAGGGGCATGCAGTTGTTTTCCCGCTGAAAAAATATAGAGGTCAAGGTTATGCCATCTCCCCTGGGCCTCTCAGCCTTGCCTGCTCTCCAGTCCAACTCCTGCCTCTACCTGATCTGCATTTTTGGAACTGTGGGAAGCACGTCAGTGGGTTTGTGAAATCAGTGTAATGGGACACAACAAGCTTTACACAACATTCTTCTTTTAAATGGAAGAATGGAATATAATGTTCAGAGTGCATCGCTCATAGTAAAGGTAGGTATTGTTTCGTGAAACTTTTGTTTCAGTTATATGAATGTGTGTATATTCATTACACACAGGATGCAATAGAGCATGATTTTAAATATATACCTTACTATGAGTCACAGTTAACAATCTCCAAACACTGTTATGTTGAACTCTCCGTCCACTGTCTCAGTCTTCCTGCGGGAATTTCTATCCTGTTTTCGTTTCCCCACCTTCCATGCTACAGGGTCCCCTCACAACCCACAGGGTTCCCTGTGCCGTGGTTTGCTGAGGAGCAGCCCTTGGGCCCCATGGACATTGGCAAGCCTGTCAGGGGGGCAGGCCAGCAGGCCAGGCTCATGGGGCAGAGTCCTGCCTCCTGCCTCCTGCTTCCTGCTTTAGCAAGGTGCTTCTGTCGGCCCTGCAGGACGGATGTTTCCCAAAAGAGGTTTAATGGCTCCTTCCTCCCTGAGCTGTCAGGTTAGTGCCTTTGTCTACAGAATTAGCACAGGTACACCTGCAGGTTGGTGTCCTCATTAAACTATTTTCTGCATCTTGATTCCATAAGGATGACTCCAGGGGACATTTCAAAGAAGCAATTCATTTGCAGTGGCCTCTCCCAATTGGAAAGGGTGGTCCCAGTTTCATTGGCAGAAGCAGAGGGAGGCCTGGGTCTGTCTGAATTTTCTGTACCAGCCTCCTGCAGCTGGGCCAGCCCACACAGACGTGGAGAAGTCAGGATAGTGGGCCTTCTCACCTTCTCCTCGCCATGCAGCTTCTCTCCTGTCCTTTGCCCTCTGACACTCTCCTGGCCACAGATAGGCCCAAAGCAGAAGTGTAAACTTCTCTTCTGGGCTGCTTCTGCCTTGTCAAAAATGCTGTCTGTGAGAGACTGCAGTCTCTAATGGTGGCATTCTAGGTGGAGATGTTATTGGATGGAAGGTCCCTGAAACCACACCATGCCAACACCCACCTACTCCACTTCTGGGTACCCCCATCCCTGTCCTCTGTGCAGCTCTGGGCCCACCTTTCCTAGAGCAGCCTCCCAGGGCTACCAGTCCAAGGAAGGAAGGATTCCAGACACCCACCAAGCACTGGCTAGGGACCAGGCGGAGGAGTCAGAGAGACACAGTTGGTCAGCCGTTTACTTACTGTTCTCCTGGTGAGACAGGATCCCAAGGGGGACATTGATCAATGGCGAGTTGTGAATGCTAAGTGACAATGTAGAAGGTCTGAGTCAGGACCACCGGGATGCAGAGGAGAAGGAGGTCTGTGGGCCAGCAGGCTGTGGTAGTAGAGGAGTCCCAGAAACAGGGCTGGAACAAGATCTTAGAAAATAGATAAAGAGCTCACACAGAAGACAAGGGCAAAGACAGGTATCCCAGGCACGGAGGATGGCAGAAGTAAAGAGGAGGGAGATTAAAAAATACAGGGCACATTGAGGGAAAGTGAGTCTACTAACAAGCCAGAGCAGAGCCTGTTCACAGGGAGAAAGACATTTAGAGCAGAGCTTTCAACCAGTTGCAGATGGATACAAGTGCTCCAAGACTCAGATCCTCTAACCCTTGGTCTGAGGCACCTGTGGCAGCTGAGCCCTGGGTCAGTACTCAAGTGACATGGAGAGGGTCAGCAAGCCATGAATTAGAGCACAACATTGAGATCATGTACCATTCCTGAAAGCTGATCCTAAAATCAGTCTCTTTTACCCCCCTCTCTCCTTTCTACCCCTCTCTCCCCTCCTTCCCTCTCATATCCAACAATATTTCCTGGGTACCCACCCCACTGGGTATTGTGCTGAATGGTGGGAATTCCACAATGAAGCAGACAATATCCCTACACTCAAGGGTCACGGGGTCTAGTAAAGAAGACAAGCCAGCAAAAACTTCATTCAATAGCATGCACCTGGAGCTAGGACTAAGGTCTGCATAGGGCATGCTAGGAGCTCAGAGGAAACATCTAACCTGGGACCCAAGGAAGATTTCCAAGAAAAGCTGACACCTGAGCTGAATATTCAAGGGCGGAGGGGAGTCAGCCACAGAAGGAAGCGGGGAAAAGGACATTCCAGGCCAAGGGAACAGCATGAGCAAAGGCGAGGTGGCTAGGGACCATACATACCCTAGCCATGGCAGGATCTACAAACACTCAGAGCCGCTAGAGTGATGCTAAGGCTGGGGCTACCCTGTGAAATAGGAGAAATACAGTGCTGGAAGGACAGATCAGGGAGCAAAGGGGGCTATAGGAAGCCTTTCCCAGTGCCA
Source organism: Homo sapiens (assembly GCF_000001405.40). Taxonomy (NCBI): domain Eukaryota; kingdom Metazoa; phylum Chordata; class Mammalia; order Primates; family Hominidae; genus Homo; species Homo sapiens. Next base: position 19,751,510 of record NC_000002.12, read on the forward strand.
GGTCTATTCCTCAGAAGGAGATAGACACACCGGCGCCCAAGGGAAGGTGGGCATCCCTTGATGGGGGGAGTGGCATTTTCTTTCCCCAAGTCTGAGGCTGCTGCTCTTGCTGCTGACACCCCCAGAAACTCCAGAGGGTGCAGCCCTCACTGAAGGGCCCACTCCAAATTGTGCTGAATATCCTCCAAAAGAAAACTTATTCTTAGTAAAGGCTTTCCCGTGACCTTTCTCAGAGAGGAAAACACACACACTCTTCACTATTGCTATTCCCCGCCAGCTTTCCAAAGAACTACTCCCACACTGGCCTCAGGAGGGGGAGAAACCCCAGGGACCAAGGGTTAGGAGCAGTACTTCAGAAAGATTTCCAGGGAACAGAGAAGAGGATCTGATTAAAGTCCATCAACTATGAGGTTTTCTTCCAGGCAATTAAATTAAGCAAGAACATTCCAGTTCGTTCAGGTTGTTCCACTGACAGACACCTTTTTTTATAGGGAAAAAATAATCTTGGTAGTATGGTAAAAGATGATTAATTAAGACCACCACAAGGCATTTATTTGATTTGGGGTTTAGAAAAGCCCATCAATTTCACACAGCAAAAACCAATTTATCTGTACCTTTAATATCTAAGTTATCACTAAATCCATTATGTGGGAGAGGATCCTATTTTTTTGATAATGGCATAAAATATGGACAAAACATGAATAATTATGAAAAATAAAACAAGAACAGCACACACAAAAACAAAACTGTTAATAACAACTCATCAGGGGAAGCAGATGGCTCAAAGGCTTGTGATGGCAAGCCCTGGGCTTCACCTTCTGGCTCCAGCAGGTGCCACAGCCAAGCAGACCTGATGATGTTCACAGGGATCAGAGAGATCATCCCATACCCAGGCTCCAGAAGTCCAACTCATACGACATCTTATCCTGTGCACCTTCTCCTTTCCTACACCCATGTCCTGCTTTCCAGAGGGGCAGTAAATACTTTGAGAGCAGGGACCACATCTCATTCATGGCTCTGAAGATAATGAGTCAATATGTAGTTTCCAGCCATCTAGTCCTGAGCTGGAAACACAGAAATAAACATTCCACAGATGTGCTGATGAGCCCTGATTCTTCTGTCTGGCCTTCAGCCCGATGCCTAGGCTCCTTCCCTGTGCCAGCGTCCTGGTCCCTGTTAAGCCCAGTCACCTTTTCAGATAAGATGTTCTTGGAAGGGGATCAAGCAGCAGTTCCTGCACGTAGAAGGGGTTGGTATCAGCTGGGAATCTGTAAGCCTCCTCTGTCTCACTTCCTCCATGAATCCTATGATCTGAGACCTCAGTTTTGTCCAGGATATTTCTGAAAGCTTAAATAGCTGCCACAAATTAGACCTACTACTTCCTACCTTTCATCATTTTTCTTCTTTCATTCCTTGCATGCCCATTTTTAAGCTTACTGTGGGATTAGTATAATGGAAACATGCCTCCTTCCTAGGTCTACCTCAGTAAGGAAGTAGACAAGAAATTGGAACCCCTGTTTCAAGTGGAGTCCCCTCGCTTATAAATCTAAGTAAAGTTGGTCTACATCCTTGATCCACAATTTGCAGAACATGCAATAGCCTCTGCTCCTACATGCAAAGTTCCTGTGTGTTCCAAGGAGAGCTCCCATCCTGATTTAGTGTATTCACCTGTGACATCTTTCCCTTCTAGATTCTTCCCCTTTCTGCAATGTGTTATGGCTATTTACTTCCGCATGGAAGAAACCCAGACATGAACCCACCTCACTTTCTGAATTTATACCACACACCCACACAAGTCCTTAGAGTATAGGATAAATTTTACTAGAGGTCTGGGTAGCTGACAGATGTTTATGCCTTAAAAATGCCTACAACTTTAATTAAACGTGAGTTATTCTGGTCTTGAAAATTCTTTGGCTAGCCTACCATTGGGCTCAACCATCCTCTCCATGTCCAATTCCCCTGATCTGTTCTCACTAACACCTATATTCCCATCTGGTCCTTATATGTAACAGCTTAGTCATCTCTTTTGTTTCCTCATCTCCTAGGAAACCAGGCCCCCAGAGTCTCACCTTCTAAACCAAGTGACTTATCAAGATGTTTTCCTAAATAAATTCAATTCTTTCTTCAAGAGAAATTCTGAACCCTCTATAAAGAAAAGAAAAATCTTCCACTGCACAAATAGGCCTTTTCTATGTACTATGATCGGTATGATCAGTACTTGCTGTGGGAATTTATTGAACACTATGGGAGCGTAGAGAAATCCAGGCCTGGACTGAGGGAGTCAGAAAAGATAGCCCAGAAGAAGCAATTCCTAACCTAGCACCTGAAAAAAAGGGTAGAGTTAGCCAATAGAAAAGAGAAAGAGAATCCAGAGGAAAGCACACACAAAGGCTAGAAGCAAGAGAGAGCCTGGTAGCACCCAGAATTACAAGAGGTTCACAGTGGCTGAGAGGGGCACAGCAACCTGAGTGAGGGCATGATGACAGATACAACTGGCGAGGGGGTGGGGCCAGGCCACACCTCATAGATCAGGTTTGAACTTGTTCCAGAAGGCAATGGGGAACCTTCCAAAGGTTTAAGCAGGAAAGTGACATGGCCAGATTTGCACTTTAGAAAGATGACTCTGTGTGAAGGATGGAAAGTCAGTTATTAAGAGGCAAGACTAGAAGTAGAGACTGGTAGGAGGCTACCGCTGTGGCCCAGCATGAACAGAGGCCTGGACAAGGGAGGTTCCAGAGGGGAAGAAGAAATGGGCACAGCTTGAAGAGAGATTACAGAGGAAGGAATTGCCATTCCATGGTGCTGGAGTGGAAATGGGGAAAGAGTCTTGGGCAACTCCAAGATCTCTGACTTGACCAACGAGGTGGCAGACGGTGTTTTACTAAGATGAAGAATGCAAGAGAAGTGGGTGGGTTTGGGAAAGATCTGCCACCTCTCTCCCTGCCCATAGTGCAAAGACAAATGTTTTCTCCACCCAGGAACTGCCCACTCTGGTGTGTCCTGCTCATTGCAGCCACCCCCTCAAAAATCACCTGACCAATGGGGACCCAAAGAGGCCACAGCTACATGATGTTCTCAAACACCATGGGAAACCAATAGAGGAATCTAACAGACATTGAGTGGGCCCACCCTGTACCCACACTGCTCAGGCTACCTTCTTCTGCCCCCATTCTGTGCCCTTCCCCAGATGGGAGTTCCAGGTCAGACCACAGCTGCCCAGGCTGGCCTCAGTCTGGATCTGCTGAGTTCTAAATCTGACACCACAGCTTCCTCCCAGTCTGGGAGAAGGCATCTTGGTTTTGTTCTCTTGCACATACATAGCCATTCTTCAAGTCCAGGAAAGCCAAACACAAAGGTAATATCACTTAGCCAGGCTGCAATTAGCAGATTAGCGGCTTGTTGCTCTTGTCTTATGTCCCACTCGATGACCTCACAAAAGCCCAGAGAGCCTCAACACTGAGCTGCTCCAGGAAAGGGCCCATCGACTTCCCTGGCAAAAAAATCCCCCAGTCTGTCACCGTGAGTTTCCCCATTGTAGAGCTAAACTACAATTGATGTTCTGTCTCTATCAATTTCTCAGGAATGCTGGGACACAAGCCCAGTATTAATGAAGACAGCAGAAAGGCAGGCATGCGCTTGGCCCCGTTCCAGAGCTGACGGAGAGCGTGGATCCTGAATCATTCCGGGGACCCAGAGAAACCTGAATGAGGCAAAACAACCAGACTCTGGGGTCACACACAGGCTTGGTGGGGCAGACAGATGCGAGAAGGCTTACGGGAGAATTTCTGCTGGGAAGAAATAGCCTCGAGATTATCCTTTTTTATGATCAGGTATTATTTTCACCATCCAAGAAAGGCAATTTTAGTTCAGCCTAAAAGGGCGTATCCATAGGTGTGTTCATCTGGTAGTACACAATCACACACCCAATCTCACATACAGAGCTTACACGTCACATTAGGGGACCGTGGTAAAGCTAGAACTAGCACTCAAGTAAGGAACTGAGGCTGTATCTGCATGTGTCTGACCAAATCCCTGAGCACCTCTCAGAATTGCCTCTCAAATCAGAAGCCCTCCCAGGTCACATGCAGAGGAAGCCTTGATTGATGTGGGAGGCCTCACTGGTATTAAATTAAAAGCCAGTAAAATGCTTGTCTTCATCTCAGTTTGAAAAATGAATAGAAACTGGCCACTGGCTCCTGTTTCTCAGACAGTGTCATCTGGGGGCTTCTCATTTTGGAAACTTTTTTAATCACATATAATTCCTTAATCCTTCCAAACTGACCTGCTCCTTAAAACTGGCTCCAGTGATGCTGAAACAATTTAGCTAAGCCATCAATCCCATCAAACCAATTCACTGCCTGTAGGATGTGGATCTATACAGGATCTGGAGAACACAGCAGGCTCCATAGGCGCACAAAGTAGACCAAGGGTAACAGTGGGACAGCCACAATGTGAGACATAATCATCCCTGACACAAATTTCATAAGAATCAAAATCAATCAGAAATGGAAGGCTCTGCCCGTAGGAACTCTATAAAAGAAAGCTAATATCATTAGGGATATGGTTGTTTTAACACTGTTCTGAGCAGGTTGGAGCTCCAGAACTGTGAGATAATGAATTTTGGTTATTCCAAGGCCCCCAGTTTGAGGTACCATCTTAAGGAAGCCCCAAGAACCTAATACAGTGGTATGTCCAAGAATAAGAGACTTGTATTTCGTTCACTTGTTTGATATCTGCTTTAGTATCAGGTTTGTTGACCTGCCCCATTGTTACCTAAGCAAGGAGAAAGGAACCTGGGGAGAACTGCTGCGGTGGGAAAATGTGAGAAAAGAGGGACTAGAACTATCTTCCTGACTTTTCAGGTTCCAAGAGGTACAAAAGATGCTTGCCATTTGGCTGTAGAGAGCAGATGAGTTTGAGAACTGCTCAGTACAGGTGACAGAAAGACATACAATAAAGGGGGTGTAGCCTGATACCACCACATGGGAACAGGCAGAAGGGCTGGCCCAATCTCCAAGGAACCTCCAGTACCAGTGGGGTCTCAAGGGAAGGAGCCCTTGTCAGTAGGACACACTGGAGCTACCACACTTCCTCATGGAAACTGTAGTTATAGTTATAACTACAGAAGGGCAGTTATAGTCATCCTAGAAGAAGACCACAACCTCATCCAGGGAAGGAGGATGCTTGCCCTCTTTAGGGTCTCTTCACTCCACCCTACCATACCTGAGGGACTAAATGCCACCATGCACGCTCACACATGCACGTACACAAAGCACATTTTCTTTCAATGCCACCAGAGTAGAGAGCAAAGCTAGACATTGGTGGGTGGAGAGAAAAGGGCTGTGAATCAAATTGGAGAATAAATGGGTTAATTAGTTATTAGGAATAAGTCAAATCACCAAATAAGATAATTCTAGTAAACAAATGTAACTAAAAAATTATGGAATCTGGGCTAGATATTGTTAAGGGAGCTACTAGGTAGTATGAATAGGAGATTTGGGATGGTTTCACTGAAAGTGATGATTGGAAAAAAATTAAAAATCATTATGATGGTAAACCTCATCAAGCAGAGATTCTTTAATAAACCAGTTGCTTGTACATAAATGAATGAATAACACTTTCAGGTGGCCTTGTGAGGAAGTGATGGAGCAGGCAATGTAACCAGGGGTCAGAAGAGGGCTGAAAGTCACCATGGACTGGAACAGTCAGGAAAATAATGCTTAGGTGCAGCCAGACTGAGCCTCAGACACAAGGACTAGCCTTGAGGAAGTGGAGCAGGAATAGGGAAGATGATTGACATCTTTCTTAGTGGCATGCCCAGCAAAGGCACTGGTTGGTACTTGTGAAGTACCAGTGAATCTACATTACGGGCATGGAGATTGGTGTTGCAAGCTTGGGGTCAGAGGATCAGATATTTTGGATAGGGGAACTACAGGGAAGAAGCAGGAGAAGGAAGATGGGGCCTCCCATGGAGGACTGTCAGTGCCAGGCTAAGTGGAAGGGATCCCACTCATTTGTCCTCGGAAACCAATGGCCTGCCTGGGCATCCTGCATCTGAGGGCCTCCCCAGCCGGCACTCTGGGTACCCTCCTTGCATGGGTCTAGTGCTGGTATTTGGGAGTGTGCATAGGCCATTATGTGTTTGGTGAAGGGATAAGTGGATGACACTGCTGGCCAAGAGACCAGCACACAAGTCCCAGCTCAATTTCACAAAGACTCGGGAACTGCCAGAACCCTAGGGAGTAGCCCCCACTCCGGCTTGGGAAGGCAGAATGGGCCGTTGAAGCTTATGAGACAGTGTGTTTTGTATGGCCTCTGGCCATCAGAAAAAAAAACACAACAAAGGAAAGAGGAAAAGATATGGATTATTGGCATGAACAGCCTAATGACAAACACATTTGCATGTGTTGCTACATGGAGAGCCTGCCCTCTCTGTGGCCTAATAGGGTTTTTATTCCCTGTGCTCCAAAGGGCAAAGCCAGGTGCCAGCCCCAGAAACAACACCTCTTGTCTTCCCAGGACGCTTGGTTTAATGTGGGTGGCTCCAGGTGCCTGAGTTTGGGCCACTGCCTCACATGCCTGATTCACCATCTGTGACATGTGGTTTCTCTGTCTATTTGGAGGATTGGCTGAGCTGTCCCAGAGAGCCATGGGCCATACTTAACTCTGGGGTGAAAGGGGCAACAGACATGTCTTGAATTAGCCCCCGCAAGTCAGGGATCATGTTAAACACCTCATATATATTGTCTCATTTGATCTTCACAAATTCCTACAAAGTAATAGATCTTACCCCCATTTTAAGGGTGAAAAAACTGAGGCTTAGAAAACACACCATTTCCATCTTACCATACTGCCTCCCTGTGTGAAAAGAGAGCTACATAAATTATTAAAGAAAATTAAGATTCTTGGATTTCAGAGCTGAAAGAAACTTCAAATAACATCTTTTCCAATTTCTTTACTATACAGTTGGTGAACTTGAGGTCAAAAGAAAAATACTGGCTTGCCCAAAGTTGCACAGAACTAGGAAGAGAATGCTATTGTGTGCATTCCAGGCCCCAGCCCATCATAATTTGGAGGCATTTTAAACAAAGGCATGATTAACAATAAAGAAGGGGCTGCTCCTAACAGGGGGAGGTACATGCCTAACTGGGGAAAAAGCCCCCAGCTCCCTACTCCTGCATGCCCCAAACTCCTGGGTGTTTTCCACGAACATGATAAGGATGCTGCTACTTGCAGGTAATGAGTAAACAAGTAAACACTCTTATGTGGTGTCCACATATCTGTCATGTTGAGACCTGGGTTTCATCAACATGTCACCCATTGAAGGCCCGACCTTTGCTTTCTTCACTCTGCACAACCCAATGCCAAGCACGCAGAGAACACACTGGCCACGGTCAAGAGACGAAAAGAAAACACAGAGAACACACTGGCCACAGTCAAGAAACAAAAGCTAAAGCTGGAATGTAAATTAGGAATTATAAACAGAATGTCAGCTTGGATAAACTCTTTCAACTTACCAGCAGACCTGTCCACAATGACAATTAGGAGGAAAATAAAAGGAAATTAGGAGAAACAATGAGAAAAAAGGAACACAGGAGCAGAGAAAGGAAAGACAGTGAATAAAAAAAGACCTCGGAGGGTGTCACTCAGTGATAACCTGGTACCCAAAGTCTGGCCAATGGCTCTTTATGATGAAATCCCAAACATACCACATTCCCAGGTGAACCATTAAACCTGGAGAAAGGGCTTGGTGAGAAGCTGGACCAGCAGCAATGGTTCAAGGCCAATGATGTTAGACCCTCTGATCCCCCAGTTCTCCATCCAGCTCCTATCAGTCTACAGGCACTCAAAGCCCTAAAAACCATCCAACTTCAGGTTGACAAGCCTAGGCCCTAACCAATAAGAAGCAGGTTAGGGACGGGTGTGGTGGCTCATGCCTGTAATCCCAGCACTTTGGGAGGCTGAGGCGGGCAGATCATGAGGTCAGGAGATCAAGACCTGCCTGGCCAACACGGTGAAACCCCGCCTCTACTAAAAATACAAAAATTAGCTGGGTGTGGTGGTGTGTGCCTGTAGTCTCAGCTACTCAGGAGGCTGAGCAGGACAATCGCTTGAACCTGGGAAGTGGAGGTTGCAGTGAGCCAAGATGGTGCCATGGCACTCTAGCCTGGCCACAGAGTAAGACACTGTCTCAAAAAAAAGAAAAAAAAGAAAAAAAGAAGTAGATTAGGCTGTATAGGCTGTGTATGAAACCCCATATACCCCATCAAAAGGAGAGGTCATTCTAACCTAAGCCCAGTATCCTGTGGGTCTGGGTGGGCCCATGATTTCAAATATCCATCAGGATACAGATAAATTGTATACAGAGATCAGCATAATGCCTGGCACATAGTAGGTAGTTATGACTATTTACAGTCTATGCAAGGCATGGCAGAGACTGATTCATTAAATACATTTTCTTTTCCTGTTGGGCACACAGACCATACACCAGCTTCCTCTGCAGTGAGGCGTGGCCACGTCTTTGAGTGCTGGCCCATGGATTGTGGGCAGAAGTGCTGCGCTCCATTCCTAGGTCTGGTCCATTAAAACCTTCCATGTGTCATTCTCCTTTTCCCCCATCTGTCAGCCAGACACAGAAACCTGGCACAGCAATCCACAGCCCCAGGGTAAGGCAAAACCACAGACGGAAGGAGCCAATGTCCCTAAATGAACATATCTAATGCCACCTGGAAAGACATCAGGAACATCATATTGGACTACGCGTGAGTGGGAAATAAGCTTTCTGCTACATTAAGCCACTGAGATTTGGGGATTTGTTCATTATAACCATGCAAACACTAACATTACTTACCCTAACATAGATCTTAAGCTTGGTTTGCTGAGAAGACTCCACAAGGACTGAAGCCCTACTCTTTCTGAGTGACAATTTTGATGAGGCTCTGGCCTTCTCTCAGGCCCCTGGAAGTTTCTCTGTGAGACCTGATTACTGCCAGGAGTCCTTTTTCCACTGAGACAGACCTGTCTGACACTACATCTGTACCTCCTGCCAATCCACGAGCTATCTTCCCAAAGACAGGCTGGCACATCCTCAGCTCACCCCACTCCACACCTGCCAGGCTTAGCTGGCTTCTAGGAATGCCTCACAGCTGAGTTAGGGGTAAAAACAAGGTTTATGCCTTGACTCTTAAGGGGCAGCAGGAAGTAATAAAGAGACCACTGGGTACAGTGCCAGTCAAAATCAAAAGGAAAACACCAAAGCCATGTGTTTGTTATAATGTTATAATGTGGAAGCATAGGTCATAGTCCAAGAGCAGAGCTGTAGACACATTCATTACACATTTATTCATTCAAAAATGTATACAGCAACTGATGTGGGGTAGGTACAAATCACCAATGAGTGTTGTTCATTGAGTCAAAGACATATTTGCCATTGTAGCTCTGCACATTCGTACTTCCTTTCCTTCTCTTCCCAGTACACTTGTTCTTGGATCACATGACTACTACTTCTAATTAGCCTTGGTTATCCATATATGGTTAGTCTATGGATTAACTTGAACTGGAGAATGCAATGCAGCAAATGGAAAACCTTATTACATGTGAATTCTTCTTTAAAATCCTCATTTTCTTTTATACCACTCACTATACACACTCAATGATTCAATCTTCTACTCCTGTGAATTTTCCCTGATCCCTTAATGCTGGCATTTGAATGGCTGCTATGTGTCTTCTTAGAAAAAAAAATGTGTCACCTGCAACTTGTTTTTTTCTAAAGGAGGCTCTGTTTACTCACTGTACACAAATGACAGTATATTCCTCAGCTCCTCCTGGATTTCACCAGTCAGCATCTATGGGCACAAATGACAACTTCGACTAACATTATTTGACTCCTTCTCATCTCTCACCTTCCGATGGAACCATTGAGCTCAATGCAATGTTCTTTTCATTCAGAACACAGCTTAAGTCAATGTGGAGTAAAAGCTGCAAGCATAACTCTTGCATTCGAAAATCAACTTTGGCCAGGCGCCGTGGCTCACACATTTTGAGAGGCTGAGGCGGGCAGATCACCTGAGCTCAGGAGTTCAAGACCAGCCTGGCCAACATGGTGAAACCCCGTCTCTACTAAAATTACAAAAATTAGCTGGGCATGGTGGCAGGCACCTGTAATCCCAGCTACTGGGGAGGCTGAGGCAGGAGAAATGCTTGAACGCAGGAGGTGGAGGTTGCAGTGAGCTGAGATTGTCCCACTGCACTCCAGCCTGGGTGGTGGAACAAGACCCTATCACAAAAAAAAAAAAAAAAAAAAAAAAAAAAAAAAAAATCAACTTTAACTTGGTAATTCACCAACAATCCCTGTATGATGGCAGGAAGTCTCACTCTGCTTCAGGCTGTCAGCTGGGAGGGCCATGGTTAAGTTAGTTAACCTATCTGAGCCTCCTTTTTTGTTTCATGTTGTGTTGTGTTTTCATTTGAAAAATGGGGACGAATGTATTCTTTGCATATCTACTCATGTTGTTTTGATGTTCAAAGAAGATAAAATGGAAGTACTTTGTAAACCATAAAGCAGATAGATTGAGACAGGATGGGGCTATCATTCAGTTGCTCCCCAAGCCAAATATGCCCCTCAATACGTTCTCACAGATGTGCATACTTCCTATCTCTTCTGCAAAGTCCAGTACAGACTAATTTTCCCCTTTTCTAAATATCAACCTAGTGGTCCATTTGTCTACTCTTCTCTAGCTGTAAGGACTGCATAGTTTAGCACCTTATCTCTAAAGCATTTTATGCACCAAATTCCTGTTAGCTAACTGAGGTGTGTGTGGGTGTGTGTGTGGATGTGGATGTGTGTGGCTGGCTGGCCTTCCACACTAAACTGGCAAGGACTATCTCATACTCATCTGAGTCATTTCCCCAGTATGTGTGCATGTGTGGCCCTTAACAGGGGTCCACATAGAAAGGGCATCTAAATAAACCTTTGGAGCGGGGGAAACTAGGAAACTTCATAAAGGGTATGTTGCCTGAGTTAAATCTCAAAAGATGAAAAGACATTAGCCAAACAAGGTAATAGCACATGAAAAGGCCAGGAAGCTCAGAGCATCTCAAGAGCTGATGCTCAGTAAGGGTGGGCAGTGAGGGCCAAGCCTCAACAGGGTAGGCTGATGGTGGAGAAGAGTGGAGACCCACAGATGGGCAGGTGCAGGAGGACAAGGGCTACAGCTGCCACTGACGAAGAATCGAGGAAGAATCTGAAAAACACGTGATCTTCAGCATAGGCTACAGCCTTTTTACATTCTAAATCCTGTTATTCTGCTCCTCTTTGTCCCCATGGTGGTAACTCAGAAAGCACCTCAATACCACCCCAAGCTTCTCACATCCGGCATCCAGCCCAGACATACGAATTAGACCAGCAGAGGCCCAGGGCAGAGGTGGGTGCCCAGGCTGACCAGTGGGCACCCCCTTCTTGAGTGTACTCTGTATCCCTGACAGCCAGAAGACAGCCCCACATTACTTCAGCCCCTGCCTTCTTTGTGTTCCATATTCCTATTTTCTTGACACAAACCATACAAAGTTTCAACACTTGGAGACTGCAAAGTAAACCATTTGTACATACCAGGTCTGGTAACACTTTAAATAATAGGCCAGTTAGTTAATGCTGCACTACAATAAAAATTCCTGTCCAAGTACACATTATGTCCTCATTAATGCCAAGTGAGTTCAGAGTGATTAATGTTATGACAATAAATAACTGGGAAATCATTATGACCACCAGGCTGCAGCACACAGTGGGGCCCAGAGCAGCCTAGGCTTCTGCTACTCTCTGAACACACTAGGGTGCTGCCTGCCCCTCCATCAGGCACACTCAAGCCCCTCCACACCACAGCTCCAGTGAGCATGGGGCTGTGCCAGAGAGCTGAGGCTGGTGAGCCCTACTCATGAGGCCAATCTTGAGTCACCTGGGAAGAGAGGACAAGATTATCAGAACCTGCCCTCTCCTCCAGTGGAAAGAGAGCATGTGTTGGAAGCTGGAAACGAGGCCCTCAAGTCCATGGGCAGAACAGCTCTCATCAACCTCCTGGTAGAGACCCAGGCAGGGAAAGCTGGGCCAGCTCTAGCTGCATTGGGCACCATCAGGAGGGGCTCAGGGAAGTGGGTAGGTCTCTCATGAGGGACAGTGGAGGGTGTGGTCAGGGAAAAAGGGACTCACTGCCCAAGAAGTTCAGATACAGACAGAGGCCCCTGTCTTCAGGAAGTTTCTCTCAGGGCAGTAAATGAAAACCAGCTTTGTGGTTGGTCAAAGAAATAGGGCAGCTGTGCTCTTTCTCAGCATCTCTAAGCCATGTGGGGGCTGGTCCCTGGGATAGGAGACTGGTCCATGGGTAGTATCTTTGAAGCTGGAGATGCCAGGCTAGCAAATAAAATGCTGACAACAGGGAATGAGAACCAGATTAGAAAAAAAAATAACTTTACAAACCATGGAAACTGGCATCTCAGCCTTTAGGGTATAGAGAAGGCTTGATCACCCAAAGAGCAACTTCAGCTCCTCCCCAGCTCATCCCACAAAGCCCACTTTGCACCCATTGCCCAAATGGCTGTGGACTCTGTCTTGGCCTATGGGAGGCCTTAGGCTATTGGCATATGCCAGATCTTATATGAGTGCTTGTTTTTGGCCTTTGTCCTTCTCAGTTTCTCTGAAGCAGGTTTGATCTGGCCTGCTATGAGCCCCTCTAGCCTTTGGGGATTTTGTGAGCAGCACAGTACCTGAAATATAGTAGATATTCAGCACAGGATGGAATCGGGCTCTGGGTGGAAGGCCAGAACTCCCCAGCCTGTCTTTCATTGAATGGACCACTACCTCCAACATTGCTGGCCCTCTATTCACCCCTGCCCAGTATCTTCTCAAAGCACAGCCCCTCAGGAGTGGGCATCTAGGCTAAGACTGGAGCCCCAGATGGACATGGGGGTGAGGAAGGGTGGGCTTACTCCAAAGTAGGAAAGTCCAGCTCAGAGTTTCCACTCAGTCATCAAAAGTCAACCCTATTGATTAATGAAGATGCTGGGTTGACCAAGAAATGAGGACAGAAGTGGCTAGAAGTCAGTGTTGACTTTTCAAACAACCATAAATTCCATAAGAGTGACAAAAGAACCTGCTCTGTAATCTTGCTCATTATTTACACTAAAACCTAATTAAAGTCATTATGTTTTTTGTTCATTAAACAAACTTACTATTACAGACACCAAGCCAGCACAAGGGCTGCTGGGCTCACTCTGGAAGCCAAGAGCCTCAGGCTCAACCAGAGCCCAACATCCAACCATCTTTTGAGTCAAACTTTCTCTGGAAAGAAAGACTGCAGAGAAACAGAATAGGACAAGAAGCTGGGACAAGAAAAGTATCACAAAACTCCCCTGAAGTACATGTCTTCTCTGTTCTGCCTCTTTCTACAAAGCAAGAACAAAGAATTCCTTGCAAGTCCCATTTCATTTCAAGGGAACTGGATCCATACCGAAATGAACACAAAGTAAATGGAAACCTGCGTTGCGGTTGGTCAAAGGAATAGGCAGCTGTGCTGTCTCTCTCAGCAACTCACTCAAGGCCATGTGGGGGCTGATCCACGGGATATGACTAAGCATAAGAGTCCAGTTAACTGGTCAACATTTCTAGATGCATACCATGAGCAGTGTCCAGTGGAGGGCCTGGGGGTGGAGTGGGGGTATTAGATCTATCTCTAAAGTCACTGGCACTCTATTAAGGGTAACAGGAAGGTAATCTAGTTATAAGGCCAATTGTGACAAGAGACAAAAAAGGACATTACATATTAAGTGTCAATTCATCAAAAAATATGATGGCTCACGCCTGTAATCCCAGCAGGGAGACGGAGGTTGTGGTGACCTGAGATTGCACTACTGCACTCCAGCCTGGGCAACACAGCAAGACTTTGTCTCAAAAAAAAAAAAAAAAAGTAACACTTATAAACATGTATGCACCAAACATTAGAGCTCCCATATTTGAAAGGTGAAATAAACAGTTCTATAAAAATAGATAATTTTCAATACCTTATTTTCAGTAATGGATAGAATACCTAGACAGAAGGATCAATATAAAAATAGGAAACTTTAACAATATGTAAGAGCACCAAGATCTGTTTCTCAAAGCACAGTTGCTCAGGAGTGGGAATCCAGGCTGAGACTGGAGCCTCGAATGGACATAGTAGTGAGAAAGGGTGAGCTCTTACTCTAAGGTAGGAAAGACCAGCTTAGAGTTTCCATTTTGGCATTAGAAGTCAATCCTATTGATTAATGAAGATGCTGGGTAGATATAACATTAATACAGAACACTCCACCCAAAATTAGCAGAATGAATGCACATTCTTCTCAAATGCACATGGAACATTCTCAAGGATAGAACTCATGTTAGGCCACAAAATGAGCCTCAATAAATTTAAAAATATTGAAATCATACAAATGATGATTCTTCTTACCACAAAGGAATAAATCTAGAAATCAATAAGAGAATAAAATCTAGAAAGTCCACAAATATGTGGAAATTAAAGAATATACTCCTTTTAAAATGAATTGTATTATGCATATATAATACAACATGATGTTATAAGATGCATATATATATAGTAAAATGGATGCTATAGTGAAACATACTAATATGTCCATCATCTCCTACAGTCACCCATTTTCCTCTCTATGGCAAGAGCATCTGTAATCTACTCATTTAGCAAAAACCCTAAATACGATACAGTATTATCAACCATAGTCCTCATGTTGCACATTCAATTTTTCAGCTTCTTCATCCTACATCCTTTGACTTATATCTCCCCATTTCTTTCCCCCACCACTCCCTGCTTTACCCTGATAACCACTGTTTTAGTCTATGTATATATTTGACTTTTTTTAGAGTCCACATATAAGTGGGGATCATGCAATATTTTTCTTCCTGTGTATAGCTTATTTCACTGAGCATAATGTCCTCCAGGACCACCCATGTTGTGGCAAATGACAATATCCAAAATATGGAAACAATATATCTTTAAACAAGCAATGGATCAAAGAAGAAATCCCAATGGAAATTAGAGTATGCATAGAGATGAACGGGGGGAAAGCACAACATATCAAAACATGGGATACAATGGGGCAGTGCTCAGAAGAAAATTGATAACACCTATATTAGAAAAGAAAAAAATCTCAAATGAGTAAGCTAACTTTACACCTTAAGGAACTAGAAAAAGATGAGCAAATCAAATCTATAGCTAGCCAAAGGATTAGCAGAGCAGAAATAAATAGAAAAATAGAGAGAATCAATAAAAGCAAAAGTTGGTTCTTTGAAAAGATCAACAAAATTGACAAACCTTTAGATAGACTAATAAAAAAAGAGAGAAGATGCAAATAAAATCAGAAATGAAAGTAAGAACATGGCCATCAACCCTAACAAAATAGAAAAGATTATAAGAATACTATGAGCAATTGTATGCCAACAAATTAAATAACCTGGATGAAGTGGACAAATTCCTAGAAATACACAAATTACCAAAACTCACTCAAGAAAAAGCAGAAAATCTGAACAGACCTATAACAAGAGATTGAGAGGGCTTTCAAGATGGTTGATTACAGGCATCTCTTACTCACTTCCTTCACTAGGAAGAACTGAAATAGTGAGTAGACAATTACAGTTGGAATAGATCACCCAAGAGAGGGCACTGGAATACAACAGGGAAGTGACAGGAAACATGTAAAGCAAGGAAGGAGAGGAAAGTGAGGCAACCTGCTTGGCCAGGATCAGCTGGGAGCTGGGAGACTTCTGATTGTGGGAAAACGGTAAATGAGAGACACTCACCTCAACCCGCACCCAGGTGTCCATAGCCAGGGGAGAGCTCTTTGACCCTAGCAGAACCTGAGACCAACACAGAGAGCTCCCAGGAAACTACAAGGAGGTATTTCTCCAGAAAGAGAGCTTACATTGGATCACACAAACCCCTAAATCTTAAGCAGCAGCAGCATGGTACCATTTTGAGTGCCCAGCCCACACCAGACTGTATCCTTCACTGCAATGTGTGCTGAGGTGAGAGCCATGGACCACAATCCTACCTGCTGCCCTGCAAAGGGTGGCCACCCACCTTGGCCTCCCAAAGTGCTGGGATTACAGGCATGAGCCACCAAGCCTGGCCACTATCACTTTCTCAATCTACTTTTGACGAATAAAGTTGGCAAGACATCAAGAAGAGAAACACAAATCTCAAAAAGAGAGAGAGAGAGAGATTGAATCAGTAATCAAAAACCTTCCAACAAAGAAAATCCCTGGGCCGGATAACTTCACTGGTGAATTTTACCAAATATTTATAGTGAAATTAACACCAATTCTTCTCGAAGTCTTCCAAAAAATAGAAGAGGAAGGAATGCTACCTAACTAATTCTATGAGGCCAGCATTTCCCTGGTACCAAAGCCAGATATAGACATCACATGAAAAGAAAATCACATAACAATATCTCTTATGAATACAGATGAAAAATATTCAACAACACACTAGTAAATTGAACACAGCAGCACATTAAAAAGGAGTAAATACCATGACTAAGTGGGATTTATCCCAGGAATGCAAGGAATGGCTCAACATAAGAAAATTAGAAAATGTAAGGCACCACATTATTAGAAGGAAGAATAAGACCACAGTCGCCTCCATTGATGCACAAAAGGCATTTGACAAAATCCAACACCCTTTTCTTATTAAAAAAAATGCAGAAAGCTAAGAATAGAGGGGAACTTCTCCAACATAATAAATATCATTTATTAAAAACTCACTGTTAACATTATGTTTAGTGGTGAAAGACTGAAAAATTTCAGTCTTAGGAATGAGACAAGAATGCCCACTTTCACCACTGCTAGTCAACATCATACTGGAATTTCTACCTAGAGAAAATAGGCAAGAAAAAAATGAATAAAAGGCATCCAAATTGGAATAAAAGAAATAAAACTCTCTTTTTCCATAGATTATATGATCTCATGCAAAGAAAAATCCCAAAGATTTCACAAAAAGCTATTAGAGCTAGTATATAAATTCAGTAAAGTTGCAGGAGACAAAATCAACCCACAAAAATTGACTGTGTTTCTGTACACCAGCAATGAACAATCTGAAATGGAAATTAAGGAAATAATTCATTTATAATAGTATCCAAAAGAATAGAATACCTAGGAACAAACTTGACAAAGGAGGTAAAAGACTTGTACACAGAAAACTACAAAGCATTGCTGTAAGAAATTAAAGGAGACCTAAGTAAATGGAAAGATATCCTGTGCTCATGGTTCAGAAGATGTAATACTGTCAAAGTGTCAATACTACTCAAAGAAGTCTACATATTCAATACAATCCCCATCAAAATTCCAATGGCCTTTTGTGCATAATGGAAAATTCAATCCTTAAATTCATATGAAATTTCAAGGGGCTCCAAATAGTCAAAACTGTCTTGAAAAAGAAGACAGTAGGAGGACTGACACTTGCCTATTTCAAAACTTACTATAAAACTATAGTAATCAAGACAGGGTGGCACTGGCATAAGGATAGACACATAGACTTACAGAATAGAATTGGGAATCCAGAAATAACCCTATAATTCTATCACTAACTTTTATTTTTAACAACAGTTTTAAGACCATTCAATGGAGAAAGAATACTCACTCCAACAAATGGCTCTGAAACAACTGAATATCCACATGCAAATGAATCACGTTAGACCCTACCTTATACCACGTACAAAAATTAACTCAAAGTGGATCAATGACTTATATATAAGACCTAAACCTACAAAATTCTTTGAAGAAAACATAGGGGTAAATCTTCGTGACTGTGGATTTGGCAATGGATTCTTAGTTATGCTTAGATATCTAAGAATAAGCAACAAAAGAAAAAACAAATACATTAGACCTCGTCAAAATAAAAAAAAAAGTTGTGGATCAAAAAAAGAACATTATCAAGAAAGTAAAAGAAAAACCTACAGAATAAGAGGATATATTTACAAATCATGTATCTGATAAGGCTCAAAAAGACAAACAACTCAAATAAAAATGGGCAATGGACTTGAATAGGCATTCCTCTAAAGAAGATATACAAATGGCCAAACACACATGAAAAGATGTTCAACATCTTAGTCATTAGATAAATGCAAACCAAAATCATGATGAGGTACTACTTCCCAACCACTGGGTGGCAATAATCAAAAGATGAAAAATAACATATTTGCAAGGATGTAGATAAATTGGAACCCTCATATGTTGCTGATGAGAATGTAAAATAGTTTAACTGCTGTAAAAAACAGTTTGACAGTTCCTCAAAAAGTTAAATAGAATTGGCATATGACTGCAATTCCATTCCTAGGTGTATACCCAAAAGAATTAAAAACAGGGGCTCAAATAAGTACATGTACACACATGTTCATAGCAGCATATTCACACATCCAAAAGGTGGAAACAGCCTAAATGTCCATCAATGGAGGAATGAATAAAGAAATTATGGCATATACCTACAATGGAATATACCAATTATTCAGCCATAAAAAGAAATGAAGTACTGATACATGCTATAATGCTGACAAATCTAGAAAACATTATGGTAAGTGAAAGAAACCAGACATGAAAAGTCACATATTGTGTGACTCTATTAATGTGAAATATCCAGAATAGATAAATCCATAAGGACACAACACAGATTGGTGGATTGGTGGTTTCCAGGAGCTGGGGGTATTGAGTATAATAGTTGGATTCTGCAGAGAAACAGTGTGTGTGTATGTGTGTGTGTGTGTGTGTGTGTGTGTGTGTGTGTGTGTGTGTATCTCCAATTATTTTATACATATATATAGATATATATGTATACATATGGGGGAAGCAAGAGTTATTTTAAGAAATTGGCTCACATGATTGTTGGTGCTCCCCAGTCTGAATCTGCAGGGCAGGATAGGCTGGTGATTCAGTGAGAAGTTGTTACTGCAATCTGAAGACAGTCCAGAGGCAGAATTTCCTCTTCCATGTTGTATTAGTCCATTTTCACACAGCTGTAAAGAACTTTCCTGAGACTGGGTAATTTATAAAGAAAAAAGGTTTTACGGACTCACAGTTCCACATAGCTGAGGAGAGGCCTCAGGAAACACAATCATGGTGGAAGGCAAAGGAAAAGCAAGTACCTTCTTCACAAGGTGGCCAGAAAGAGAGAGAGTGAGAAGGAGGAACTGTCAAACACTTATAAAACCATCAGTTCTTGTGAGAACTCACTCACTATCAAAAGAACAACATGGGGGAAACCACTCTCATGATCCTGTCACCTCTTACCAAGTCTCTCCCTTGACACTCAGGGATTATGGAGATTACAGTTTGAGATGAGATTTGGATGGGGACAAGGAACCAAACCATATCACTCAGGGTACATCAGTCTTTTTCCTGTTAAGGTCTTCTACTTGGATTGATTGGATGATGCGCACCCACATTATAAAGGGCCATTTGCTTGACTCAAAATCTACTGATTTAAATGTTCATCAGATCTTAAACTAATACCTTCACAACAACATCTAAACTGGTGTTTGACCAAAGACTAGGTACCATAGCTTAGCCAAGTTGACACATAAAATTAACCATCACAGAGGGAATGGGAAAAACTGTTTAATGGGCATATTCATCTCCTAGGGTTACCATAACAAAATCCTGCAAACTGGGCAGCTTACACAGCAGGAACTGATTGGCTTATAATTCTGGGAGCTAGAAGTCTGAGATGGAGTTCTCGGCAAGATTGGTTCCTTCTGAGGGATGTGAGGGATAAACTGTTCCATGCCTCTCCCCAGCTTCTGGTGGTTTGCTGACAATCTTTGGTGTCCCTGCCTTCAGTTGTATCACCTCGATCTCTGCCTTGTCACATGCTGTTCTCCCTATGTACGTGGCTCTGCATCCAGCTTTCCTCTTCGAATAAAGACACCAGTCACATTAGATTAAGGCCCATCCTAATGACCTCTTTTTCACTCAGTACATCTGAAAGGACCCTATTTCCAAATAAGGTCACATTCTGATTTACAGGGGGTTGAGACTTCAACATCTGAATTCTGGGGGGACGCAATTCAACCCACAACAATGAATAAGGGGGTTTGCTTTGGAGCAATATAAATGTTTTGGGACCAGAAAGAGGTAGACAAAGTTATAAATGTCCTCAACGCCATAAAATTGCTCACTTGAAAATGAGGAATTTTATATTGAGTGAATTTTATCTCAATCAATTATTTCAAAAAAGGAAGTGGAGCTTGCAGTGGAGCTTGAATGATGTGTGACATCGCAGAGACCCAGGTGTTGCGGGTAGAAAATGTGGAATAAGCAAATATATGAAGAAAGGACACTGCAAGACGTAGTCATAGTCATAGTGCAGAACAGCTGGAGGGTGGCCTTGGCATTGTTCATCACCGTATTAACATCCCAAATGGATCACATTACCTGAGAAAGTCAAGAGATATCATCTTCACCTGAGAAGCCACTGCCCTGACCAAGACACATTCTCAAGGGGCTGGCTACTTGTCTAGTCATCCAGGAAAATGATGACTACAAATATATGGGCCTGTTGGCATCTTTGGCTCTTGTCTCTCTCTCTCTCCTGGGCATAACTGAAGGAGCTACTTTTCTCTTTGAACTTGACGAATCCCCAAGGGAAAATGCAAATCCATGTAATATGTAAAATGCATAGTGATGCATCTTATGAGGGTGGCAGTGGAGGATAGGAGGGTCTATAATCATCATATACTGTGAAAATTAAAAAGTTTAAATAGTTTATCTCAACCAGGTGCAGTGGCTCACGCCTGTAATCCCAGCAGTTTGGGAGGCCAAGGCAGGCAGATCACTGGAGGCCAGGAGTTCGAGACTAGCCTGGGCAACATGGCGAAAGCCCATGTCTACTAAAAATGCAAAACTTAGCTGCACATGATGGCATACACCTGTATTCCCAGCTACTTAGGAGGCTGAGGCATGAGAATCAATTGAACCCGGGATGTGTGGGTTGCAGTGAGCCGAGATCGCGCCACTGTACTCCAGCCTGGAAGACAGAGACTCTATCTCAAAAATAAATAAATAAATAGTTTATCTCAATTTTGTTCAAAGCAGCCAGCCCATGAACTGCTTGCTACTATTGGTTTATAATGATGTAAGAAACTTGTGGGAGTAGCTAAATCAATATAATGCTTTGTTCATTGAGAAAGTCTTGCTATGAAAAATTAAAATGTTAGCTATAATAAAGAGCTAGACAGTTGATTTACATTTACATTTCACATTTGCATTTACTAAAGACAGTTGATTTACATCCTGATACAAGGTCCTTATCCCCTTGTAGACAAGTAACAGCTGGTTCCCACACCTGCAGTGGTCTGCAAATCACACTGAAAGAGGTACTCACCTAAATTACCCTTAAAAAGTCCATAAAGTACAGTATTCATGATTTTGTGTATATATGAACATTTCAGTTTGAGAAAGATTGATCTAAAGATCTAGAGCGAAAAAAAAAAAAGAACAAAAGGAAAGTGACTATCCAAAGTTATAGGGCATTTGGAACTTCCTGCCCGTCTGTGAGAGCTATAAACTGGAAGCCACTCAAATGCCATCAACAGTAGAATAAATAAATTCCAACATATGCATAGAACGATGATAAAATAAATGAGCTACTATTCGCATCACAACATGGATGAATCTCACAAATGGAATGCTAAACAGAAGAAAGATGGCACAAAAGAGCACATACTTTATTTATATAAAGTTCAAAATCAGTCAAACAGATCTATGATATTAAGGGCAGTGATACTGCTTCCATTTGGGGGAGAGAGTGACTGGGAGGAATCTAAGGATTTTAATGTTCTTTTTCTTAACCTAAGTGGAGTTAGGAGAATTCCGTTTGTAAAAAACCATCACACCATGCATTTGTGACGTTCACTCTTCTGTATGTATGTTACACTTCAATAAACAGTTGTTAAAACATCCTGTCTTTAAGACAACCCTCACGTTCCTACCAGTAATTGGAACTTGCATAGACAGCACCTGCTTTTCTGAAGAGTTCCTGCCACTGTGTATCTAAGCTTCCAACTATAACCTTGATGCATGTCAATAGTGCTGTTTGTTGTGTTGAGGTCTGAAGGCAATGGCAAAGTTGTATCTTAAGTTGTGATTAATTTCTAAAGTCAGCATGTAACATAAATGCACATAAAATGAGTCCACTATATACACTCTGAAGCCAAGTGAATTTGTCCATACACATACACACATTTGTACATAACAGTAGGACTTTGTAAATAACATTTCAGTATTCCCAGAAACCACCTTCAGCAATCCACAGATATACAAATGCAGACATTTTGGAACAGGCTCCTGGCTTTCTCCTGTATTATATTTTGGTAGAGAGCTCATATTTTCTATGCCCTAGCTTGACACCACAGTTAACAGCCTTTTTGACTTTCACTGGAGTTTTATCTCTCTCTTGATGAGAGAAAAGTTTTCTCACTAGTTGGAGCATTCTCAGCAAGAGCCTCCCAAATTCCTTTTCCATTCCCCAGATAAAATATGTAATGGACTCTTACACATCACAGAGCCAAGCCAGTGCTAAGCTCAACAGTCTAATCTTTAAATTTTCCAAACTTTTATTTTTTTCGCTGTCAGAGCTGATATGTGCAGCTGTACAGGTTGTGTACTGCACAATTCTAGGAGGGGCCATTCATTTATAATACTATGAATGGTGTGACTCCTTCCCCTTCCTCCCTCTCTCTCTCTCTCTCTCTCTCTCTCTCTCTCTCTCTCTCTCTCACACACACACACACATACAGTTACAGTGTTGTGAGAAGTGGAGTACAACAGTGTAGATGGAGATATGAGGGCAGGAGGCCAGCTCAGCTTTGTCTGACCAAATCATTCATGGTCCATTCCAGCATTGCAGTGAGTCCCATTCAAACTCTTCTCTCAACAAGATTGTAAATAACCACATGCTTTGGGCCTCTAGTCAAAACTGTAACTGTTAAATTTACAAGAGCACGCTGTAATCCCCAGGAGGTTAATCACCAATTCCCCCTCCCTAGGGCACAAGTCAAAGTCATAGGTCAGGCAGGGTGAAGGTGCTATCTCTCTCTCTGCCCAGGCCTGCTCCTCCTCATTCATTCTGTGGCTCCTCTGCCATCTGTGATCTCCTTTATCCCCCCTGTATCCATGCAGGACCTTGTCCCATTTTACTCTGTCTCATGCTGGTCCATGTCCCTGACTGTGTCACTTCATTGTCTCAGGACTGATAGAATTATTGGACTAAATTCTCAGTCTGTTATTTCTCTGAGTTCAGTTCTGAAAGCACAAAGACTGTTTTCCCAATCCAGCCTGCTACATTGCATTTTTACTGTTACAGTTGTCTGTAACCAGATACTAACCCCCTGCTGTCCGAATTCACATAGAGCAAGGAATTCTGTAGGTGTGGCCCAGTGCAAACTAATTGTACTAATGCCCCTGAAAGAAAAGCTTCTGGGATTCATCTTGCCTGAAACCCCACTCCAGGCTCCCATTCCTCCAGAGACGCTCTCCCCTTCACACATCCAGACACCTCTCCTGCTATTGAAGAATGCGCACTTGGAGCCAGATGCTGCCTCATTCAGGGTTTTTCTGTAGGATCATGTCACTTACACAATTACATTATGAACTTCTCCCTTCCCTTATAGGGGAGGAAAGTTAAAGAAGACGCAAACATCAACTATAAACATCACCGATTGTCCGCCACTGAGCTCCCATTTCAGGGCCAGCTAACGGGGTGGGCTAGAGGCTGCCTTTGAGGGCCAGGTAAAGGGCCCAAGCCGTGTGCTCTGGGGCAGCTTAGAAAATACCCTGGGAGAACTCACCCAACTATGAGCTGTGCCCTCTAAATGTCACCTGTATTAAATAGCCTCTGCTGAGGCCCAACAGCCCTGTCTCCAGCAACCCTGCTGTCCTGGCCCTAGAGAAGCCCACCTGGGCACTGGCAGCCCCAGCATTGTGGCCAAGCTAAACCATGAGCAGGAAAGACAGAGTCCCTCTGGAGATTGATCCCTCTGGGAACTCAGGCTGTTTGGATCCAACGCCGAGCAGACTGGCTCTGTGATGTCTTCAGGGAAGAATTTGAGGGCCTTGAGCACGCCAAGACCTGCCTTCTACATGCTGTGATGGGACCCACGTGTCCTCTAGAAGCCATAAAAAGAGCCATCTCAGCCCCTGTTTTCTAGTATGGAGCTCGGGGAAAACTTCTATGTGCTGTCTTCCCATCACAAGCACCTGGGATGGAAGATGCATATCCCCTAGGCCTTCCAGCAAAGAATTAAAAGCTGTTTGGAAGACTCCGTCTGCAAAAATGTCTGATGTTTAAGTCTAGTGGGTAAAGCCTGAGACTATGGCCTATCCCTAGGAGGAAGTACTTGGGATTTGAGGAAAGCACTGTTTCTACATTCAGGAACGCTAAGAGGAGTCTTGCCACTTGCAGAGAATCTGAGTCACGACCTTTTCCTTCCTAAGACGTCATCCCTTCAGTTATAAAAGGAGAGGATGTTCCAAATTGGCAGTTCATAAACAGCATGCATTAGAATCTACTTGGGAGCTTTTTAAATGCCTAAGCCAGGCCCCCACCTCCAGCATATCTTAGGTGGCCTAGGCATGGGAAGTTAAAAAATTTCTGCAGCTGACTCTGACGTGTCCCCAACAACCTGTAGTTCCATGAACGGAACTTAACATTCTACTCATGCAAATGTGGCCGTGGCATGATATTGCAGTTAGGTCAATTTCCTGACATCAGCCTAGTTGAGGTGCTTTGGTTATGCCCAAGTACAAGCTGCACATTAGGGACAAAACCACATCCCCAAGGCTGAGCTTGAAGATCACAGGCCATTGATGAGGCCACGGCCACCTCTGCACAGGCCAGCACAGCTAGGTTCAAAACAAAAGTATCCCTTACGTGTCTCTCCTTCCATGGCTCCCAAGATCCCTGCTCTCATCCCTTCCCCAACCTGGTGCAGTCCTCTCTTCCCATCACTCAATGAGGAAGGAGAGGCTGTGTTTATTCCACGATAGTGGCAACACTTGCTATCCAGTTATACCAGTTTGAAACCTCTAAGTCTCCTTGGCCTTCACCCTCCGTGAATTCTATTTCAAGCCTCTCCATCCCAATGCCACTGTATTTCTGGGTCAACTTCTCCCTTGCCAGGAATAAAACAAAAGCCCACAGACAGATGTCCTTCCAGCCACTCCACCAATCTGTCCTCTAGGATGAACTTTTCAAACTGAGGTTCTGACTTCAGGGATCCCTGCTCTGGCATGTAAAATGCCGTGGGGAGGGAGTGTATTTGTACATTTTTACAGAGGATCCACTGTTTTCATCAGACTCTCAAAAGAGTTTCTGGCCTAACAAAAGTAGATGAAAGTGGATACCAGGCTGCACCCCATTCTATGTTCTGACCAAGGTGGTCTTGAGGGCAGGAACCACATCTTCACCACCTCTGTTTCCCTGTGGTCTGGCTCAGTGTCTGGCACCAAGGAGGAAGTTCCAGGGGTGTTGAACTGAATTACTAGCCACAGCCCAGCATGATTTCAGCAGCATGGGAGTGATGCCTTAAAGAACTCTCCCTCGTGGGCTGGAAACACACAGAAAACTCTTGGCCCTCTCCTAGCAAGATAACAGCCTTTAACTCTGAAGGAAACATTCCATGTGCATCAGCTTTGCCAACGAAAGTGAGCCAAGCAAAGGTGTCTCCAGCCCGTGGAAGAGCCTTGAGGACACCGTGCCAGCTGCAGCAGGTGATCCACTCTCAGGCATGACTGCGCACCACAGCAGTGCCAAACCACCTGCCCATTCAACCAGCTACAGAATCCCAGGCCTGCTGTTGGATCAGTGGGTCAGATCCAAAAATCCCCACCAGCCCCAAAGCTATCTGCCAATCATTACTACAGTCTTGTGCTCCCCTACAGATGCCAAGCTGTGTGCGTCTTGTTGGGAGATGTTTATAGCTCAAGTTCCAGAGACAACTTGGAGGGCTCTCAGGCTGTAATCTACTTAAGACAAAAATCTATGACATCTCCTTGGACTCCTGCAGCTTCCCAAGGGACATTCCAACTGTACTTAGGAATATTTGATTTTCCTGCATGTTGTACTTCCAGGTAAGAAATCATAAAGGTAGAACAGAAGATGGCTGGACATGATAAGAATGCAAAACATGTGTTTGCTAAGGGGGAAACAAGAGTCATGGAATCCTAATTCCTCAGGTTGATTCCAGCAGTGCAAGCCAAGTACAAAGAGATTTACAGAAGAACCAGTTTGCCTCATCTACATGGTGTCTTCCCCCAGACAGCAGGCAGTCAAGACCAATTTCTCAGCCCACAGCATGGGTATTATCTTCAATGCCCAGGATCCCTGAACTTAGCTTCTTCTGGACCGCAATGGTGAATAGCAAGAGTCCCGGCTGAAGCCTATGTGGGAATCCAGACATGTTCAGGGCAGAATTCTCAGAACTCTAACTGCATAAAGAACTGAATTTCTTTCGGGAAGAGAATTCATCCTAAGGCAAGACTCAGCAATGGAGACTTAGATATGAAATTTCCACATCTTAGCAAAGGAGTGATTCTGAATGTACTCTGGCTCTGATCCTCAGATCTCTTCCCCATCTAGTCCTACAGATTTATGTCTGTTGTCTTTAAACTTTTTAAGACAAGCTGGTAACTGGAAAGGGCACAGGCCAGCCTTCAGTTTCAGGCTAGGAGGGCCCCTGCGCATCAGTGCTGCAGCTAACAAGGACCACAGTTCCTGATGAGAGGAGTCAGGTAGCAGGAGTGACCACGGGAGACTGTGGAGCCCACAGAAGATGACAACAGAGTCCAAAGCCATGTTCAGATGGCATGCCAGGACCCCATGGTGGGAGGGAAACTCAGTGATGGGGAGGCAGTTCCTGGAAGAAACAGAAGCACAAAGTGGCTACCAGACATGCTCAGGAGCACACAAGAGACATCCAGGGGAATCCAGAAATATTCAGTGGAAACTTTGCAAGGGAGTCAAGACCCTATAAACAGATGGGAAGGTTAGTAAAATTCTGATTATTATTATTAATATGAATTTATCCATATGCACAAGTTAGAAAATTGATAGAATCTCAAGTCATAATAGAAAAAGCATGGTTGATGGACTTACTCTTTTGACAGCCTACACGGGCCTTCTGTGGACTTACTTTCCTGATACAAAGATGGGAATTGCTGTTTGAAAACAGGTGAGTACAGGCTTAGCCACTTCTCCATAAGCCACTGGGAGTGAGCCCTTGACCCCTGAATCATTTGGGTAATTCAGCATCTGGGCTGCAGGTGAAGAGGGACTTTGGTGAGAGCACCTAGATGCCATTTCCATCACAGGGTACTAAAGGGGTCTTTAGGGGTCTGTGTGGGCTAGAGACCCAGCACCTTCCTGCTGAGCAATGGTAAGTTATTTGTGATCACTGTCTCCCGAGCCATCATCCTCAACCTTCAGCTCCTCCTTCCCCTGCCCACAAAATCTTGGGATATGAGAGAAGGATCATGTTGATCACAGAATGGTAGCAGAGCACCATTCATTCATTCAATCATTCACTATTTAGTAAATATGTCCCACATGTCAGGCACTAACCAGGCTCCAACTCGCACTAATGAACAATACAGTTGTGCTCCCTGCTCTCAGGGAGCTTACAGTCTAGTGGGGCAGACAGGCTTTAAACAAGGAGGCACAAAAGAACCACAAAGTGTGATCGGGATTTCAAAGGAAAAGAACGGGTCTCTATAGGAGAGGACAACAACAGAAAAACTGCTCAGGATTAGGGTGTCATGGAAGCCCCTTGCAGAAATGCTACTTATCCTGAGATGTGAAGACAAGTAGGGTTGGTGTGGGGGAGAGCGTGGCTCAAGGCAAAAAGACCTTAAAGCCAAAAGGAGGATCCTGCCCCTGAAAGGAGCCGTGGAACAAAGCATCATTTGCAAAGAGAAGAGCAGCAAGAGAGGGGGTCAAAGAGGAGTCTGGACCACCAGAATGAAGCCTTGGAGGCCATAGCAAGGGCTGCACATTTTGTCCTCGTGCAAAGGGAAGCCAAAAAGGGACTCTACACAGAGAAGTTACATGACAATTTATTTATGTAACCATCAGTCTGGCTGCTTGGGGACGGTAGGTTGGATGGGGCTCTAAAATAGAATCAAGGAGATCAGTAAGTTGCAGAGAAGTTCGAGAGAGAGATGATGGCAGCTAGGCTAAGGTAGGGACCATAGTAAAGAAATGGATAAGTTTGAAAATATTTGAAGATAGCATCAACAGAATTGGTGATGAATGAGTATGAGGACAACCAAGGGGGAAGCAGGGAGGATGATGCCTCAGTTTTCCAGCGGAGTAGCTGGGCAATTAGAGATGCCATTTATTGAGACTGAGACTGAGGTGGAGCAGGTTTGAGAGAGAATAGCAAGTTCTTCCTTTGGAGCCTCTTAAGTTTGAGCCTGTGAGACTTCGAAGTGGAGATGCTAAGAAGGCAACTGTCATGCGAGTTTCAAATTCAGAAAATGGAAGAATTTAGGAGTTGCTGGCACATAGTTGGACCCTGGGGCATGGGACGCCTGTTCAAACTTTTGAGGTATTTGCCCAGTTCACAATCACCCAACCCCACAGCAACGCCTGCAGGTAGGAAGGCACAGCGCCACTGCTCTCAGCCCACACCTTTTCACTTTTGTCACCCTCTCCTTAAAGGCCTCCATTATTCCTTGTTACCCAGAAGATAAAGTCCAAATATCTTAGCCTGCAATTCAAGGCCTTCTGGGATCTGGCCTCCACCTTCCTTATCTCCCTATTGCCTTACATGTGTCTCTGCACCAGCAAACTGGCCTCTTGACTGTTCCTGACACACCAATCCCTTCCAGCCCGCACACCTTTGCTCACAGGGGCCCTTACCTGGGCTTCCCTCCTCCCTATTCTACAATCAAATACTACTCAGGGCAAAGAGGATTGGAAGTGCTGATCACAAACACAAGATATGGGATGAGCTTCAGTCTAGAGGAGGTTCCAGCAAAGGACAGGGCATCACACCCTGGGCCACCTCCGTGAGCACAGAAAGGATTCAAGGCAACATGACTCTCTTTACCCATCTGCTAAATGGAGCTGAATCAGGCTAGTTTTTCTAGGCAAAAAACAGGTCACAAAATGTCCAATTTTAAGATTATTCTCAATGTCTCTTTGCCAGGTTACCCTTATCTGAGCAAACAGAATTCATTTCCAAAATCAACTCTCCATAAATTGTATTTGGGAGAAACCCTTACATAACTTTAGATATAATTAAGGGGAAAACAGAAAATGGGGGTGGGTGGGCAAAACGGTATGGAGAAGCTGATTGTACCCATAGATTGAAAGGATTCTATTCATAGATTAAAAGCTGGCTTTTGGCCTTATTTAAAAAAAAAAATTCTTCCCATTAGGGTGCTTGAGATGCCTAGAGGTAGGGTCGGAGATAAATCTGGTACTTACCATGACAGGCTGTGGAAGGAGGATGCCAGCTGGCCCTATAGACAGATTCTGCTTCATGGCTTTAGGACCAGTAGTTGGGGAGCCCAAGGCAATGCCCATGGCAACAGATCACCTGTGCATTTAGGCAGTAGCTTTTCGTCCTTGTCTTTGGTGCTCACTGCCAGCTGGCATTACCTTCATGGGCTCTTCTTTCTGATGGGGACTGGAATGGAGGAGAGGGCTTCCCACAGGATAAAGTACTCTCTGCCTACCTCTCCAACTTCATATAGACCACTCTCTCCCTGGCCCCCAGAGCTCCAGCTGTTTAAATCTCTC
This sequence comes from Homo sapiens, assembly GCF_000001405.40. NCBI lineage: Eukaryota > Metazoa > Chordata > Mammalia > Primates > Hominidae > Homo > Homo sapiens. The sequence goes on from NC_000002.12 coordinate 19,781,338, forward strand.
AGTTTCTTGAACCCACCATGCCTGTTCTTGTCCAGGCACTTTTGCTCTGCTGTTCCCACTGCTGCAAAACACTCTGCCCCTTTTCTGGGCTCCCTGGTGATATGCTAGCCTTTCGTGACCTCCTGGATTAGGGTAGGGGTCCTCTTCAGTTCTCTGGCCTCACCCTACACCCTCACACCCTGCTTCTCACTCCTCCAGGCTGCTGACCTTGCCACACCTCAGGCTTATAGAGGGAAGACCTGTGTCTGCCTGGGGCACAGTGGCCTCCGTGGTGCCTAGACACGGTGATGCTTCCTGCATGTTTACTGATAAAGATGTGAAGGAGAGTGCAAACTGCACTCAGCTCTTCTCTCATTCTAAAGAGCCACAGGAAAAGGTCAAGGCTCTGAGATTAACCGGGTGAGCCTCAGAGGTCATTGGATATGTCAAGATCGAGAAGTAGAGGATTCTCACATGAGAAATGAGAGTCATGGAAGTTAGCTGCAAAACTGTGCAAACTTTTTGTACTAGCAGATTCAGTCTTCCCATCCAGAATGGAGGTGTCTTTGTGGTGGACTGTCTCTTCCTGCTAGTAACTCTCCCAGGGTATAGTAATGATATGGTTTGGCTGCGTCCCCACCCAAATCTTATCTTGAATTGTATTCCCATAATTCCCACATGTTGTGGGAGGGACCCAATGGGAGATAATTTGAATCATGGGGGCAGTTTCCCCCATATTGTTCTTGTGGTAGTGAATAAGTCTCACGAGATCTGATGGGTTTATCTGCGCTTTCTGCTTTTGCATCCTCCTCATTTTCTCTTGCTGCTGCCATGTAAGAAGTGCCTTTTGCCCCCCATCCCGCCATGATTCTGAGGCCTCCCCAGCCATGTGGAACTGTAAGTCCAATTAAACCTCTTTTTCTTTCCAGTCTCTAGTATGTCTTTATCAGAAGACATAAACAGACTAATACAGTAAATTGGTACCAGTAGAGTGGGGTGTGGCTGAAAAGATATCTGAAAATGTGGAAGCAACTTTGGAACTGAGTAACAGGCAGAGACTGGAAAAGTTTGGAGGGCTCAGAAGAAGACGTGAAAATGTGGGAAAGTTTTAAACTTCCTAGAGACTTGTTGAATGGCTTTGACAAAAATGCTGATAGTGATATGAA